>NC_000012.12:42308612-42460128 GCF_000001405.40 Homo sapiens
TATTAGAAACTACCAAGTTGGCCTGGCACAGTGGCTCAGGCCTGTAATCCCAGCACTTTGGGAGGCCGAGTCAGGTGGATCAGTTGAGGTCAGGAGTTCGAAACCAGCCTGACCAACATGGTGAAACCCCATCTCTACTAAAAAAATAGAAAATTAGCCAGGCATGATGGCACACACCTGTAATCCCAGCTACGTGGGAGGCTGAGGCAGGAGAATCGCTTGAACCCAGGAGGTGGAGGTTGCAGTGAGCTGAGATCATGCCATTGCACTGCAGCCTGAGCAACAAGAGTGAAACTCTGTCAAAAAAAAAAAAAAAAAAAAAAAAAAAAAAACAAAAAAACGGCCTGGCGCTGTGGCTCACGCCTGTAATCCCAGCACTTTGGGAGGCCAAGGCGGGCAGATCATGAGGTAAGCAGATCGAGACCATCCTGGCCAACGTGGTGAAACGCCGTCTCTACTAAAAATACAAATATTAGCCGGGTGTGGTGGTGCGTGCCTGTAGTCACAGCTACTTAGGAGGCTGAGGCAGGAGAATCGCTTGAACCTGGGAGGCAGAGGTTGCAGTGAGCCAAGACTGTGCGACTGCACTCCAGCCTGGTGACAGAGTGAGACTCCATCTCAAAAAAAAAAGAAACTACCAAATTTACAGGTTCGGTCTCTTTTTCTGAAACCGTAGGGGATAGATAGATTTTCAAAGCCAGAATTGTTCTTAAAGCTCTCTTTTGTGGTATGCTTGTTTGGGTTTCCGTTGTATTAGAGGCTTTCCTCAAATGTTTGTTGATGCTTATGTGTCTGTTCATATTTGAATGTGAAGCACTGAAAAGCTGAGCAGAGCATATTTCACTAGCACTGCCTTGGGCATATCAACTTGGAGGTCTTTATTACTGAACATTTTCTTTAGGGCTAATATCTCAAGCTGTATGTATTTTCTCCTGGGGAAGGACCCCTCCAATCCCTTGCCTGAGGTGGGAAAGCTATCTTAATCTTATCCTGGACATAGATCGCAGGGAAGGGGCTTGCAGGTGTGATGGTTCAGCATGACTTGGTGGGCTGTGGGGAGGGCTTGTTGGCCTAATTATACTTCACAAAAAATTTTTAGTTATGTTTGCACATTTTTTTCTATGCAGTCCTGTCACTTGAGGCATATTTTTTTTTGTGTGTGATAAAATATACATCACATAAAATTTACCTTTTTTTTTTGAGACAGAGTCTCGCTTTGTCGCCCAGGCTGGAGTGTGGTGGCATGATCTTGGCTCACTGCAACCTCCATCTCCCGGGTTCAAGCAATTCTTCTGCCTCAGCCTCCCAAGTATTTGGGACTACAGGTGCACACTGCCACACTCGGCTATTTTTTTCTATTTTAGTAGAGATGGGGTTTTACCTTGTTGGCCAGGCTGGTCTCGAACTCCTGAGCTCAGGCTGTCTGCCTGCCTCAGGCTCCCAAACTGCTAGGATTACAGGCATAAGCCACTGTGCCCGGCCCATTTTACCCATTTTTATGTGTACAACTTAGTGCCATTAGGTACATTCACAGTATTGAGCAACCGTCACCACTAGCCATTTCCAGAACTTCTCATCAACTGAAACAGAAACTATGCATTAAATAAATAGCCCCCCTTTCTACCTCCCTTCAGACCCTGGTAACCTCTATTTTCTGTCTCTATGAATTTCACGTTGCCTATTCCAGGTGCCTCATGTAAGTGGTATCATACAATATTTGTCCTTCTGTGTTGCTTTAACCTTCTTAGTTTTCATATAACTCAGGTTAAGTAAATCGTCTACGATCAGCAGCTTTAAGTGGCAATATGGCCATAGAAACCTAAGTGTATCTGTCAAAAAAAAGAGCATACTCTTAACCATTCTGCACTGCTACTTTAGCAGTGAGCATTTCCCCCTTCCATATGCAGATATGTATCCATATATAGCAAGTGTTTTACACTTGACATTGTATCTGGAATGTTTTCTCATACAATTAAAAATTCTTTGAAACATTTTAATGCTTCCTAATAATCTATTATTGTGAATGCATCATGCTTTAATTTGCTGTTGACAATTCTTTTTCTTTTTTTCTTTTTTTGAGACAGAGTCTCACTCTGTCACCCAGGGCTGGAGTGCAGTGGTGCGATCTGGGCTCACTGCAGCCTCTGCCTCCCTGGTTCCAGCGATTCTTGTGCCTCAGTCTCCTGAGTAGCTGGAATTACAGGCATGTGTCACCATGGCTTGCTAATTTTTGCATTTTTAGTACAGATGGGGTTTCACCATGTTGGCCAGGCTGGTCTCGAACTCCTGGCCTCAAGTGATTCACCTGCCCTGGCCTCCCAAAATGCTGGGATTACAGGTGTGAGCCACCGTGCCCGGCTGACAATTGTTTTGAATTTTAAATAATATGTTTGTACATAAATAAATACCTGCATTTCTGATTAGAACCCTAGGATAAAATAGAATGTAATTTCTAGTTAAAAAAATAGAACATACTTAACATTTGATATTTATTGTTAAATTACCCTTCAGAATTGATCCAGGGCATGTATGCGATACCACAAGTGCTTTTAATGCCATCCTCACCAACACTGAAGTGTTTTTTTCCTAATTAGGTTAAAATTGATGTATCACTGGTTGTAATAGATTTCCTTAATAAGTAATGATAAACTTTTTTACTTTTTTTTTTTAAAGACAGGATCATGCTGTTTCCCAGGCTGTCCCGCCTCAGCCTCCCAAGTAGCTAGGACAACAGGTGTGAGTGGCTAATGTTATTTTTTGTAAAGACAGTCTCCTTATGTTCCCCAGGCTGGGCTCAAACTCCTGGCCTCGAACACTCCTCCTGTCTTGACCTCCCAACGTGTTGGGATTACAGGTATGAGCCACTACACCTGGCCTATTTTATCTTCTAACTATTCTATTTGTCACTAATTTATTTCCTATTAGAGTCTGTTTTCAGGTATTCATAGAAACTTTTATATATTTGTGGCAAATCTTTTCCCAATTATTTGCTTTAAAATGGTAGGCCGGGCACAGTGGCTCATGCCTGTAATCCCAGCACTTTGGGAGGCCGAGGCGGGTGGATCACAAGGTCAGGAGTTTGAGACTAGCCTGACCAACATGGTGAAACCCCCAACTCTACTAAAAAAATACAAAAATTAGCTGGGTGTGGTGGCACGTGCCTGTAATCCCAGCTACTTAGGAGGCTGAGGCAGGAAAATGGTCTGAACCGGGGAGGTGGAGGTTGCAGTGAGCTGAGATCGCACCACTGTACTCCAGCCTGGACGACAGAGTGAGACTTCGTTTCAAAAATAAATAAATGAATAAAAATTAAAAAAAAAAAACAAACCAAAACTGTTGTGGTATTTGACTAATGGCCAAACAGATGGTTGAGTACTGCATTCAATCATTGTCTTGTTGCAATCTGGAAGATTCTTTGCTGGTGGGTGGTTAACACTTTGTAGTTTTCAAAGTGGAAACACAAGATTTTATAATGAAATTTCAAATATCTTTTTAATATATTTTTTCTTGGGATGACAATAATAATATTACTATGATAGTATTAACTTATTTCTATTGCTTTTACTAGTTAAAAAAGTAATGGGCATTCTTACAAAGTTAAACAATATAGAAATATACAAAGCAGAAAATTAAAGGCTCTCTAATCCCATTACCATATACCCACCTGCAGACAGAATGGGAAGATTTAGTCATAAATACAAAGACAATACATGGAAAAAAAATAGACAATTATTAACTCTAGGAAAAAACGTAATCATAGCATATTCCTTGGCTCAGAAATGAAAAGTATTTACTTGGTTATTAAAAAAGATATATATGGATTCCCCCAAATTTTTAATACAGCCACATTGGGAATATTGAGGAAGGTAGGAGAAGTATAAGAGATTGAATAATTCTCCTTTATTCTTTTATTAAGTGACTGAAATATATGTACTTTATTTAGCTACATGTGTGCACATGTAAGTAGTTTCTTCTAGGGAATGGAATTTGGTGCTATGGGTAGGGCAGACAAATAACACCTGTGTTTGATTTTAAGCCTTTTAGAGCTATGTTACTTTATATTTTATAGGTATTTATAATTTATTTTATAGGTATTTACAATTTATCCAGATTGGGATAAAGCTACAAGAAATATGATGACAAAACACCCATATTTAAAGACAAAATTCTCTTGAAAAGTTTATTAATATAAGTAACAATAAATCATTCAACTTTTCGGTCTTCAGGAAGTTTGTTTTAAGGATTAATTTCAGAAGTCCTCATGTAAACAAATCAGGCATGAATAAAGCCCTTATAATGAACTTTTCAAATAAATTTTTAAAATATCTTTTTTCTTGGGATGACAATAATAGTATTAACATGATAGTATTAATTTTTCTTATTTTTATTAAAATTAGCTCTTCAAGATTGTTACTAACAAATCTTGATTTTTATTACTGTGCTGGGGCAAGATTTTAATCACTAAGTTCTTCCTCATCACTGAAATATGTGCTTTTCTTTATCCTTGGGCGTCTTGAATCATCTGATGTTGAGGGGACTCCTGAACTGGGTTTCCATTTTTTTTGTTCTTCTTCAATTTTGGCTTGCTGTGATTCAAAAAACAAAACAAAACCAATAACCTGTTTAATATTATTTATGGTTCATTAATTCAAAACATGGCAAAAACATACCACAAATGCCATTACTTCCCACCCTCCCAGTCCATGCAGACAATAAGATCTGCTCCCTTCCCCTGAGTTCTGTCTCATCTCAAAATCTTACACAAAATTATCCTAGGCAATTTCTTAAAAAAATCTTTTCTGTTGGGCTATATTCACTTTGAGCAAATAGTTCTGCTCATTTCTTTAATGAAAAAAGATTAAGATAGTAAGTGTTGTGGGGCCCTTAAAATCTAGGAAGAACCAATGGGAACTTTTCATTCACACTGGCTAAGTACCTCAGAGAAACAGCTTGTCTCCTAAGGCTTAGGAGGTTAGGGGGAAAAAGAGAGGTTGCCATGAGGTGATCAATGAAGTAAGCAAGCACTATAAACCAAGTCAACTATTGTATGATGCCTTTTAAAAGAACAATTTAATACCTGGAATGCTATGGCCTGACTGAGGCTGTCAAGAGCAGGATCCTCCCCTTCATCTTCACTTTCTTCTACTTCCTCACTTAAATAAAGAAAAACAAATTGGAATGTAACCAACCAATAATCAAAAGCAACCAACCAAAAGACAAAAGCAACATGATGATGTATTTAGTAAGAATAATATACATACATTTCTTCTTCTGGTTCAGGAGCTTTCTTTTTTTTCTTTTTTTCTTTCTTCTTTGGAGGCTCACGTTCTCCGAGCATATTTTTCGGACAGGCATAACTTAAGTGTCCACTTTCCTTTTGTTTCCCATTAAAAAGGAAAGGAAAAATACCATATTTGATGTTATTTATAAAAACTTGCCTGGTACCTTATTACTAAAAAGTTTTCAAATTTAAAAAGGAATATTCCCATACTGGGACTATACAGAAGACATTAATGATAAAACCCAGTACTTTAATATTTAGAAGGTGATATTATAACTCTCAGTTATTTTAACATTTAGGACTATTTAGTAGTTTTACTAAGAGTAGTGGTAGTAGTCTTCTTTCAAACATTTAAATCTCAAAATTCAAGATATAAAACAGTTTGGTCGGGCGCGGTGGCTCACGCCTGTAATCCTAGCACTTTGGGAAGCCGAGGTGGGTGGATCACCTGAGGTCTGGAGTTTGAGACCAGACTAACCAAAATGGTGAAATCCCGTCTCTACTAAAAAAAAAAAAAAAAAAAAAAAAAAAAAAAAAATTAGTTGGGCATAAGTGGCACACACCTGTAGTCCCAGCTACTCAGGAGGCTGAGGTAGGAGAATTGCTTAAACCCAGGAGGTGGAGGTTGCAGTGAGCTGAGATCATTCCGTTGCACTCCAGCCTGGGTGACAAGAGCAAAACTCCGTCTCAAAAAAAAAAAATCAAAATTTAAATGGATCATTTACCCTAAATGTAAACATCTTAAGTTATTGATAAAACGAGGATAAAACTATTCCTGTTAATTTCCAAGATGTTGCTTAATACTCTGTTGGGCTGGGCAGGCTGAGGCAGGTGGGTCACCTTAGGAAGTGAGTTCAAGACCCGCCTGGCCAACATGGGGAAACCCTGTCTCTACTAAATATACAAAAATTAGCTGGGCTTGGTGGCATATGCCTGTAATCCCAGCTACTCAGGAGACTGAGGCACAAGAATTGATCGAACGCGGGAGGCAGAGACTGCAGTGAGCTGAGATTGTGCCACCGCACTCCAGCCTAGGCAACAGAGCAAGACCCTGTCTCAAAAAACAAACAAAAAACCAAAAAACAAATGGAAAATTTCTTCCTCACTTTTCCTATGAATTACTTCCGTTTTTTCCCTTTTATATCCTGACTACACTTGCACTATCCAATTACAGTAGTCACTAGCCAGCCAATGTGGCTACTGAGAACTTGTCTGAATTGATACGTACTGTAAAGGTAAAATACACATTGGATTTCTGAAGACTTAGTAACATACGTGGCTTGCATTATATTCTCATTTGACAATGCTGGACTAGGCTATTATTCCTACTTAGCTAGAACATTGATTTGTAAAACATAAGAGCTCAACTATAATCTGGACATCAGCTCACTACAATTCCATTTAAGAGGTTATGTCAGGGTAGGGTGTGGGGACTGAGCCAAGGTTAGAACAATAGAAGGGAACAATAATCATGCTTTTCCAGTATATTTGACAGAGCAGACAGACTGTGCACTTTGTATACCTAGGACATAGCCCAACTTAAAGAGGTTACTTACTGTTAATGAGCTGCTGAGAAAATAGAGACACATATCTGAAACTGTTTTGGAATAATATTATAGCAAAAAAAAATTAACATATCCCATACTAAAAAAGGATTTAATGAAATAACTTGAGAAAAACCAGGCTAGGTCAATATAAAAAAGTTTTTTTTGGAGGGAGGGAAATTAAATATAAAAATGTAAAAAATATAACAACTCTATGGATCCATAAACCAAAAGGAACCGATTAACAGATTCATCTAGGATTTCTCAGATAATTTAATATTTACTGTGAATATGAAGATATATACTAATCTGAATATAACTACCTTCCCTCCCTCCCTTTCTTTCTTTTACAAAACTCAAAACTTTGGAAAAGTTTCTAAAGTGTTTACTTAAGAGGTTTTAGAATCATAGGAATTGACAGAATCAGTATGTATCCAAGCAACTGCTTGCTCACTCTTTCTATTCATCCATCCATCAGTCTGTTTATTTAGTTATCTTTTTTGTCGGGGGTATGGGGAGTGACAGTGGGGTAGAGGACCTCAAGCCATTTCCTTGCATCTTCCATGTGATTTTGTAGCCAGGACGGTATCTTTCAGTGATTCTCTCCCCAGTTCCCCATTACTACCTCTGGACTCTGTTTTTTAAGTATTTTATTTTATGTTTATTTTTATTTTTGAGACAGAGTCTCCCTCTGTTGCCCAGGCTGGAGTGCAGTGGAGTAATCTCGGCTCACTGCAACCTCCACCTCCTGGGTTCAAGCGAGTCTCCTGCCTCAGCCTTCCAAGTAGCTGGGATTACAGGCACCTGCCACCATGCCTGGCTAATTTTTTTTTTGTATTTTTAGTAGAAACTCAGTTTCACTATGTTGGTCAGTCTGCTTTTGAACTCCAGACCTCAAGTGATCCGTCCACCTCAGCATCCCAAAATGCTAGGATTACAGGCGTGAGCCACTGTGCCCGGCCTGTTTCTTAAGTATTTTTATGGTCATTTTACAAACTTACACCTGTGAGAACCAGACTAAAATTCTCTTGGTACCAATACAGACCTTATACAAAATTATTCTATGGCTGTCTCTCTCTCTTCATCACCAAAACTTTAAATGGATAATGACAGATCATGAAGAGAACCAAAGAAGAAAATGTGGGGATAGTTCAGTTACAAAACACTAGCAATACTAATAGGAAAAAATAAAAAACTTCAAAACACAATATCCCATAGAGGATAAAGTCACATGATAATGTTGCTATTGAACTGTGACTTAAAAACTGTTAAAGAAACAGGCAATATCCTATTAACAAAAATTTATGAGTTACGAAAATCTTGCAAGACAGTGACATAAGTAATCAGTCTAACACTTTTAAAACTAGTGATTTTCAAAGATTTAGGAACTAGAGAAAATACCACTTTGTATTACCCAACTCAGGTTATCTTTACACATTGCATTTCAATTGAATTTACTTTGATGAGTTTAGAGACCCTAACAACTAGGCCAGGCACCATGGCTAACACCTGTAACTCTAGCACTTTGGGAGGCTGAGGTGGGAGGACTGCTTGAGCCCAGGAGTTTGAGATTGGCCTGGGCAACATAGGAAGACCCTGCCTCTACAAAAAAATTTAAAAATTAACCAGGGTGTGATGGTGCATGCCTGTGGTCCCAGCTACTCAGACACTGTGGTGGGAGGATCAGTTGGGCCCGGGAGGTAGAGGCTGCAGTGAGTTGTGACTGCATCACTGCACTGGGTGACAGAGGAAAACCCTATCTCAAAAAAATAAATATTAAAAAATAAAGCATTTTCATAATCTGGTTTAGCCAGTCAGAAGTTTTGGTGAGCAAAAATAAAAGACTGATGTGAAAAGTATCTTAAACTATGGAAAGTTCCATTAAGTTTTAGGTTTACTTACCCCACATTCATAACACTTAGATTTATCAAAGTAGTTTCGCCTTCGGATGAACTCAGCTGCTCTTCCATTGTCAATAGCAATGCTTGCTTTTATCACTCTACCAAATAACTAAACAAGAGAAAAATGTAAATGTAGAATGTATTTCACTGAAACCTAAAATTAATTATTTAATCAATTTTCTCAAATCTTCAATTCCAGTTTATTTTGGATTTTTTAGCAATTGTCACTTAGGTGTGATAAATTCTATTCTGTAGTATTCTTATTCCTGAGATTCCACCAATGTTTTGAGAACCCAGTAGTTTGACCTCTTTTCTTTCTATAAGTTAGATATCTTAAGAATCTACTGATATCTGCTAGACCTGATGATCCACTATATCCCCACATTTTTGGCCTGGATGAGCATAAAGGCTTTGGGGCTAAAAACCTTGATGGAGATGAATAGCTTACCTGTTTGTTGTTTATTGCCCTGGTACAGTTTTGTGCAGAGTCTTTATCCAAAAATAAAATAAATGCAACCCCTTTACTCTTCCTGGTATCTTTATCTTTCATGATGGTAACCCTTAAAGCATAAACAAAGAGTTAAAAATGAGGCAGCAATAAATAAAACAGATACTAATACTTGAAAAATTCATTTTAAAAAGGGCTAAAAATTTATAAGATAAATTAATACATTTGAAAAATCAGCTATCTCTTCAAAGTCAAGGGATATCAAGAATGGAAATGGGAAAGGGTGATACTGATTTAACAGAAGTGAGCACAGCTATGATTAGGAGTTAATCAGAGATTGAAGGGTGAAGTAAAGAAATTACAGAGACAATGAAATCTTAAAGTGTAACCACAATCCCTCTTCCATGCTAACTCCCTCACCTTGCAAAACAAAACAAAATAAAGGTATACTTTACACAAAAAGTAAAATGATTTATTTATTTTTCTAAGTGTTAGAATCAAAGTATATTCTTAATATTCTTTTAAAGAATCTTCAGAAAAATAAGGAAAAAAACCCTCCAGAGCTGGTTGTGGTGGTGCGCACCTGTAGTTCCAGCTACTTGGGAGGCAGAGGCAGGAGGATGCTTGAGCATGGGAGTTTGAGAACAGCCTGGGCAACATAATGAGACCCCGATCTTTAGGGAAAAAGAATCTCCAGTTCTGTGGTTTTTAGCCATACCACCCACCAGGGTGTACCTGAGTGACAAGGAGAGTTATGAGAGCACAGAGCCTGCTCTTTCTCCTGCCCCATCCACATCCCTAGTCATGGAGGCCCTTGCCCACCGTATGTCATTTAACATAGTTTAAAAACAATGTTCAACAGGGCTCTTTGGAGAAATAGCGGATTCCAAGGCTACAGCAGGGCAGGTACAAGAGGAGCTTGGAACATCTTATGCCAGAAGGTAAGAGAGTGCAAGAGTGCGTGAGCGAGTGAGAGAGAGAGAGACGGAGGGAGGAATGAATGAATGAATGATGGGGCCAAGAATACAGCAGCCAGCTGGAAGGAGCTCCCACTGGCCAAATCAAGGACAATTTGAGCATCAAAATAATTCATTACAGTAATAAATTATAAGCCACAGAGAAGGTAGGAATTTATAATTCTTACTGATAAAAGACCAATAAATAAGTGGAGGAGATGGGAGGGAAGGCTCTTGCTTACAACAGAATGCCAAGGGATGACTGGTGAATGTAGAGGGAATGCTGGAGTTGGAAAAATCACCAATTTGACAGAAATATTGAATAAGGTAGTTGCTTTATGTTTTGGAATTTTTCGTAATGTTTGTGAAAGTTATCAGTCTTTTTTTTTAAAGTAGTATTTCAAAAGAAGTATTGGCTTTCTACATCATCCTCAATTAATGATCTCTCATCTGTTGCCTCTTTTCCAATTCCACTGCTTTTTTCTTGTCCATAGGGGCATTACTGTTTTAACAGTCTATTCTTATTGGTTCCTTTATGGTAATTTTTTCTCTTATAATTTTCTCATATCCTTAAGTAGTCTTCTACTTAAGGAATAAATAAAATCACACCATTCCTTTGTTCAAAAATCTTTGGTTCTGTAAGTTGCCTATTCTTTGTCCCACTGTCAGTATCCTTGATGATTTGGCTCCCATCTCCTTCATCTTTCACTGCTCCTTCCCACGCACACACTATGAAGTCTACCCAAAAGAAACCACTCAATGCTCCAGTAGCATGGCCTGTATTTCCCCAAATTTGTGCCTTTGTTCATACAGCTTCTATCTTCTTCCACCTCTGAATCACTGCTCATTAAAATTTTCCTCATTCTTTCGGGGTTCAGGTCAATGTGTCAGTTTCTAATAGCTTCAACTGGATATAATTTCTCCTCCGTTATGCTAGTCTCTGCTGAATTGTGTTATTCATAAACAATGCCTCATCTCATCTATTTTAATGTAAACTCCTTTAAGGCTGTCTCTGTAATCCATATGTGCCCAGCTCAATATGTTGATTGATAGATATACCTTTATATTCAATGGGAAAGACAGACCAAAAAAATGGGAAAAGTAGTTTCTAAAAGAGTACATTGTGTGTGTTCATTCATTCGGTCACTCAGTCACTCTGTTAGCCTCAAGCCCATGTGCTAAGCACTAACAGTAGTTTTTACCCTCAGGAGAAATCTTACAGTTTAGTGGTAGAGACAGACCAACAAACCAACTATCATACAATACTTTGATAGAGATACCTTCTGTGGTAACAGAAAAAAAAAATTACATCAGAGATTTAAAAGGACAAATCTACTGTGACTCCCATGTTTCTGGCAAGGGAAAAGAGGTAGATAATAGCACCATTTCCTAATATAAGGTATATGATGTACTTATTTAAGCACATAATATGAAGCATACACTATTTTGGGAAACCTGAATGTCATCCATAACACCTCCTTCTTGTTCACAAAGTCCTTATACGCAAAGTAAGCATATCACTAAATAGTACCCACTTTGCTTCCTATACACATCACTATTACCCACTTTATTTCATAATGATCTCTGAAATCTGACCACCTCTCAAATCTGACCAGTCTCTATATCTCCACCTGTACTATTTTAGTACACATTTCTCCCCTGGGCTACAGTTTTAGATTCAGACTGGTCTCACTGCATTTGCTTTTTTCTTTTTTTTGCGATGGGGTCTTGCTCTGTCCAGGCTGCAGTGCAGTGGTGTGATCTTGGTTCACTGCAACCTCCACCTCCATCCGCCTCCTGGGTTCAAGTAATTCTCATGCCTCGCCTCCCAAGCAGCTGGGATTACAGGTGTGTACCACCAGGGCCGGCTACTTTTTGTATTTTTTGTAGAGATGGGGTTTCTCCATGTTGGCCAGGCTGGTCTTGAACTCATGACCTTTCAAGTGATCCTCCCACATCGGCTTCCCAAAGTGCTGGGATTACAGGTGTGTGCCACTGCACCCAGCTGCATTTGCTTTTGTTCCCCTCCAATCTAATTTCTACATTAAGCCAGAATAAACTTTAAAAAATTTAAATCATGTCACCCCTCACTTAAAATTCTTAAATGATTCCTGATATTCTTAGAATGAAAACCAAATACCTTGGTAACCTGACCAAGAAGTAAGATGAGGAACCTGCTTCCATCTCTGGAGCCACCTTGTGCTTTCTCCCCCTTACTCACTCATCTCCAGTCACATTGGCCTTCTTTCTATTTCTTGATCTCACTTTATTTTCTCTTGCCACAGGGCCTTTGCACAAGCTATTCCCTCTACCTGAAATATTCCTCCCTTATTTTTGCCTACTTAACTCTTACTCATCCTTTAGGTTTCCACTCAAAAAATACTGACCTAGGTAAGCCTTCCCTGGCTCTCTAGACTAGATAGTCTTCCCTGTTTCTAGGTGCTTATAACTCTCGTGTCTTTAACTCCATTGCAGTTTCATGGTTTAGGACTATATATTTATATGGAGATCCATTCAGAGATTCTAACAAAGTGGAAAAAGAAAAAAGGTAAAAGGGAGTGGGCTCTGAAATCTCACTGTTGGATTCAAATATTTTCTCCACCACTAGCTAGCAAGATGACCTTAGGTTTACTGTGTGCTTCAGTTTCATCATGTATAATACTGAGATGATAATAGTACCTACCTTAAAGGGTAGTTGTGAGAATTAAATAATACACATAAAGAGATTAGAACAATGCCTGGCATATATATGTGCTCATTTAAGTATCACATACCATCATCATTACCAGTGTTTGGACTGATGACAATGACTTTTTAAAATCTGAACACCCAAAAATTTACACAGAAGCATTTTTGATAATGCTTTTTTAATAGCAAAGTAACTGTAAAAGAAGTTAGTAATTTCAAGATGCAAAAGAGCTTCAACTGTTTAATATCCATTTATGGAACACTAGAAGAAATTAGCCAAGATAAATATGCTCAAAATTCTTGGGATTTTAAATTTATATCAGAATCTATATTGGTTACAAGAAAGTTAGGATGACAGTATCCTGTTACTTTTTTGCCCCATAATATAGTTGCTTGATTTAAAACAGTGAAATACGAGAAGTTCAAGTTCTTTTTATTGTTCCTAACCCTCAGCCCTGTTATCATCCATTACCATTTTTGCATGTTTCTAGTCTTTCCAACGATCTCCAAGCTATCTCTGAAGGAAGATAATATGTTTTCTATTTAAAAGACTCATAGCATCCTGCAAGTCAGATGCACTGAAATATTTGTTTTTACACTATTTATATGAAAAAAAACAAAACAAAAAACCACCTATTTATTTGAAAGTAGGTTACTTATAGTATACTTGATAACACACTTCCTAGTAACCAAAATATTTGTTTACCATTAGCTATGAGGATGTATCTTTATAGCACATGGAAAGACATTTATGGTATGTCAAATTAAAAAAGAAAAGAAAATTGTATGTATGTAATAGTCTTTAAGAAAAATTGTCTACATGTTTATGTACATGGAAAACCAACTAAATTGTCATAAAAATGTTAATAGTATTTTCTTTATTATATCAAGCATGTTTTATTTTTAAAAATCTGTCATTAAAAAAATGTAGAAGCAAATTCAGATAAACTTTTAAATGAAGTTACAAAATTTAATGTGAATACTTACTTTACAACTTTGCCATACTTGGAAAATATCTGAAACAAAAGACCAAATATTTACAATTTATTTTAAAATCATAAAACATCAAATTTTTAGGTTGCAGACATTGACCAAATTCTTTGTTACAGTTTATGAATAATTTCAGCCTTCAGTCTATAAGACAGGCCCTAGGAAAAAGTTTTTTTTGGTTACTAGAATAATATACTTACTGTTGTTGGAGTCACATGTATCTGTCTGTTTCTAAATTTGACAATGGAGTAAATACAGAGAAAAAAACTCACTCTACACATGTGGTAGATCTAAGGCATACATACTGGACAGCTGCTGTGTTCCTGAGGTATACCCATGGCAACTATCAACTCCATCATAGTGCCAGATACACCTGTGCTTCAAATGTCAATCTTATGGAGCAGCACTTTTCCAATTCTACCCTCACCACTACCTTGTTATTCCTATTAAGCAATCCCTGTTTGAGAAGGCAAATCCTTAGACTGCTTTATTTAAAAAACAAAACAAAACCTCATAAAATAAGCTTTTATAATGAAAAATCCATTTCTATCAGTCTTCTTCCTCTGCCCACCATTAACATGTTGGTGGAACTTTATACTTGGCTCTCTCTTCTGTTACTTTTACTTTATCCTATGCAATCTCATTTATTTCTACAGTTCCAGCTCATTACCCATATACTAAGAGTTCCTATTATATAAAAAGTCTTTTAGAATGTGTTAGTATATGCAACCAATAATAACGAATTTTTTCGTTCTATGATTAAGCTGTATAATGCTGGAATGTAAAATAACTGGATAGCAGTGTTAGCAACACTGGGTTCTGAAGGCCAGTACAGTCTTCTATATAATACTTACTAATGGCTTCTTGTTTCATGCAGAGTGAAAGCCAGAGTCCTTACCATGATGTAAATAGGTCGTATAAGGCACCTCGAGTGGGCTTACCTAAGATTACCCCTCTTTTTCTGAAATGTTTGTCCTCTAGAATTTGCACAGGTGCCTCTTACTCGTTTCAGGTCTTTATTCAAAAGTCACCTTCTCAATAATGGCATTTCTGACCGCCCTATGTAAAATTTCACTTCCATTCCCAACTTAACGTTCAATAGCCCACCTTTCCTGCGTTATTTTTTCTCCTTAGCACCTAACATCTTAGCATCTCCTTAGTATCTAACACATAATTTGACTTAAATGTTCAATAAATATAGCTTCTATTTTTTTTTCTTTTTTTTTTTTGAGACAGGGTCTCATTCTGTCACCCAGGCTGGAGTGCAGTGGTGTGACCTTGGCTCACTGTCGCCTCGACCTCCTAGGCTCAAGCAATCTTCCAACCTCAGTCTCCCAGGTAGCTTGTAGAGGCATGGTGGCACACACCTGTATTCCCAGCTACTTGGGAGGATGAGGTGGGAGGATCACCTGAGGGGGCGGGGAGGCTGCAGTGAGCCATGATAGTGCCACTGCACTACAGCCTCGTGCCTCAGTGACAGAATTAGACTGTCTCAAAAAAAGAAAAAAAAAAAAAGGAAAAAAGAATTTGCCAGGGAGAACTATTTGCTTAAGGTTATCTGTATCTCAAATAGCAGTCACTCGATAAGATTTACTTACCCGGTACAAGTCATTGTTTGTCAGGGAAAAAGGCAAGTTGGATACATACACTGTGCTCTTACTTGGAGCCAATCCACCACTCATTTCTAAAAGTGAAAACAAACTTATCAGCAATCAGTCTAAACCAGGATTCTTTTTTTGTTGTTTGAGACGGAGTTTCCCTCTTGTTGCCCAGGCTGGGGTGCAATGGCGTGATCTCGGCTCACTGCAACCTCTGCTTCCCAGGTTCAAGCAATTATCCTGCCTCAGCCTCCCGAGTAGCTGGGATTATAGGCATCCACTACCATGCCTGGCTAATTTTGTATTTTTAGTAGAGACAGTGTTTCACCATGTTGGTCAGGCTGGTCTTGAACTCCTGACCTCAAATGATCCACCTGCCTCAGCCTCCCAAAGTGCTGGGATTACAGGCATGAATCACCACACCTGGCCTAAACCAAGTATTATTAATTCCAAATAAAACCAATACATCAGACCAGTCTGGGTATTATTTGGAAAAAAACAAAAAACAAAAACCAATAAAGTATTAACAATCACCGATTTAATTATGCCAGATGTGTACACCTTCCTTACATTTTAGGAAGTTAGGAACAATGACTCCAGCAGGCTGAATTAAGGAATTCCTTTTTCCCAGTCACCACTTAAAAAAAATTCTTTTTTGGTTCTTCTTCTTTCAAGTATTCTTTATACCAACACTTTCAGTGCCAGATTGTATGGGTAGGGAGACGGGTTTTGAACAGATGAAGGAAAAACCCTGAGGCTACTCCTAACTTCCACTCAGACCATGAGCAAAAAAAATGCTCTATTGAATATGTACTGTATATGTACATTACCTGCACCTTGCTCACCCAGGTCAGAAAGAGCATGGGGACTCAGACAGAACCTTAGCCACTGATTTTTGCTAATACACAGTCATGCTATGCTTAATGAAGGAGGTATGTTCTGAGTGTTACGTGATTTCACAGTGCAGACATCACAGGGTGTACTGAGACAAACCTAGATGGTCTAGCCTATTGCTCCTAGGCTACAACCTGTACAGCATGTTAATGTAGTGAATAATGTAGACAGTTGAAACACAATGGTAAATATTTACATAGCTAAACACAGAAAACGTACACTAAAAATATGGTACAATGTATTACACTCTTAGGAGACCACTGTGGTATATGTGGTTTGTTGTTAATCAAAAAGTTGTTATGCTGTGCATGCCTGTACTATGGCTGGGTACCTTTTTTGCTTGTCTTAATATTTTTTTTCTCTGGAGTGGTGTGTTAAGAGGAAAATTTTCTTTTCCCCTTTTAGTATGATGTTAAGGAGTAAATTTAAGCTTTATGTATCGACAATATAAACTTCTTTCGAAACGCTAATTTTGCTTATTGCCAAATTATGAAATGATACATTATATAAATAGGCTTGGTGCCTCGAAGAGACAGACCTGTAGGTATGTGTGTATATGTATATAAAGTTTACAAATGTAATCAGTAATTTTCACATCTTATCTTACAAAGTCAGCAAATTACCGTGAAAATATCAGGCTCAACCAAATTCAAATTTCTGATTTAAAAAGAGCGTGCGGTGTGTATTTGAGATGGGAAGATCAACCATCACAAATGGAAAAATACTGACTCTATGGCATGCCAATTCGTGAAGGAATGAGAAAACTGCCTCATGTTTGGTGTTATGGGGGAATTATTTAGAAAACTTCAGGAACTCAACATAGATACGTCGCTTTTTAAGTTTCTCATTTGAAACTATGCGTTACACGTTCTGCTGAGAGCCGCGAAGGCAGGCAGAGGTTAAGGTCCTGGAATAAAAAGGGTGGCGGGAGAGAGGGGCAGAGCGTTTTGGCAGCCGAGTCTGGGGAGGGGGCCCCGCAGGAGAGAAGGCCGCAGCTGAGGAGGCGTTTACCTTCAGGTGGGTTGGGCCTGGGAGACCAGAAGAGTGCGAGCCCTCGGCTCAGCTGGGGCTCAACCCCGACTCTTCGTAGCCGCTCGCAGCGGCCTTGGCATCACGAGTCCTGGGAGGGGTCAGGCGCGGAGAGCAGATAATAGCAGCCACGGTGCTTCTTCCCGACTGTTTGAGATCCGGGCCCCGAAGGCGGGCCCAGAGGCGAGCGCTTCGCTAACGTCATTGCGCGCGCCGGAAGTACCTACCTGGGATAACGGCGGCGAGCGGACGGCTGCATTTACGGGGTCTCCCGGAGGGCCAGAGTCGGTGAGCGCTTTTTACCTTTCCCAGAGATGGATGCAGAGCGTGTGCGGGCTGCTAAACGGGGGGGAGTGGGCGGGAGTTTTCTGTGTCGGGTCCTGGATTCTCCTGCCTTTGAATTGTGTGACAATTCTGCCCATGCGGTTGAGGGTGGAGAGACGCAGTGGAGTTTGGAATAAAGGGAAGTATTGAGTCTAAGATAGGGGTTCGCCTCTCTGTAGCGCCTTAATATGCAAGAAGACGACTGAGCTAGGTAACTTCAGTGACCCGAGAGGAGTCAGGAAGTCGGTAATTTTACTGAAGGTGTTCACGGTACCCAGCTATTAGGCACTTTGGGAACTACAAAATAAACAGACCTTTTATGTTTTGTTTTGTTTTGTTTTCTGGTGAAGATCTCAGTCTAGTTGGGGAGACGAGGTCAACTTGGGGAGAGTTGGATTCACAGAATGACTCATCTTTAGTATGGGTATGGACAAGTGTTGATCTTCTTGGCACCTTTTCTCTTCCTGTAAATCTATAATGGCTACGCACTGCTTTTTCTCTAAGAGGCCATAACATGCCCACCATTCCTACAGAAAAATCAGAACGTAATGCAAGGTAATTTATACTTCTGCCTACCAGCACATACAGACCAGGCCTCTAACCACTCCCTGGGAGCCTGCGTTCCAGCAGCCTGGAACCCACAGCCTCTCCTGGAGCCTGCACAATCAATCCAGAGTGAAGCCGATGTCTTCTATAGAGACGGAAGTACAATCCATCCAGGGCGCAGCTGAATTTTGAGAGGCCTGAATGCCTCCGTGGCCGACAGGAGACCGCTGGCACTAATTCTCTAGGCATACTTGTGGCCAGCCAAACTTACCATGCTTTACATCTCTGTTATCCTTGGTTACCGCCCAAGATGTAAGCTTCTGTGGTCTTCTGTGCTATAGTCTCATTTCCATGCTGCTTTGTGCTTTCTTTCGACTTAGGCTATCACTGCTTCTTCGTTTCTTCCCCATTTAACCCCTCAACACCCCATCTGTGCTTTCTGAAACCTCTATTTCCTGCTTAAACTATTTTACATATTCAACTTCTTTAGTGAAATTCTCCTTCATCTCCTAACCTTAACTATTGATAACACGTAGATTTTCCTGCCAGCCATTTCAGTTGAGCCCTTTCTCTGACCCTGCATTTAAAGGTTGGGCATGGCTGTAGCCATGTTGAACGGATTTCAATTCCTCAGAATACTTTCTTCCCTCAGTATCTTCACAAAGGCTCTTTTCTCTCTCTGGGACATTTGAGCTCCCTGTTTCCTCCTATCTTTTTCTGGATAACTTCTATTAAAGATCTGAGTTTAGCTGTCACTTTACTTGAGGGGTATACCCTAACTTCCATAGAGTTAGGTATTTTTGCTATGTACTCTTAGCTGTCCTGCACTTCCCTCACGGCATTTATCACATGTATCTTAATTGCTTCTTTGCCATCCCTACTAAGCGAGACTGTCGGTGAGGGACTGTGTTTGTCTCGTTTATCTTTGTAACTCCAGTAGCTAATACAGTTCTTGGCACATAAGACAGTCAGTTATTTCTTGAATGATTGCAGGTGCTGAAGGTATGCTGCAGAGATCAGGCAGTTAACGTTAATGAATACTTCACCCTTAGAAGGGGTCACCTGCCACTCAGCTACAGCTGATTGTGGCTATGTGAGAATATGATCCCAGTTTTGCCAGAACATCTAATTTTTTCAAAAAAAGTTGGAAATACCATTTTTTAAAAAGCATCCTCTCCCAGTTTTTAAATGTTGTCAGTGGAATAGAATTTTATTAAAAAAAAAAAAGTGGGTCAAACACAAGTCTCATATGGCCTATCAGTCACTAGTTTGGAATCTGTTTTAAGTCTTGTAGGGTTTATATAATGGGCTTTGTGGAGAATAATAGGTTTTGAGTTGGGCCTTGATGGACCGTTGGATGTTGAATGAGAGAATGGAAAAAGATATCCCGTTTGGAAAATAAACAGCTCCGTGGTAGTATGTGTTAGTCTGTTTGTGGCACAGTAAGGAAACAGGCATAATTATATGCTTTTGGAGAGAATAGAAGGTTAGATATAATAGAAGGAGGCATATGGAAGATAGAAGTTTGGATTTATTATGGTTAATAAAAAACCTCTTGGATTCTTGATCCTGGAAACTTCACATTATGAATATGCGTTAACAGTTGATTATCCTTTTTTAGGGTAAAATGGAGGGTAAAACACTGGAAGGAGGCTGACCGGTTAAGGCCTTAACTTCCATCCATATATGAAATAAAATTCAGATTTATAAATATTATATGTAGGCAGACATCTGGCATTTTTGTTTACTTGTGTAATTTCAGTTAATTGATCAATTATAATGGACAATCAGGGATCTCCTACTAAGTTTAGTGCAGTACATTCGGGCTTATAAAAGAAGTATCCTTAAAGCGTTGGAAAGTCAAGTGACTTGTGAAACTAGTAGAGAATGCAGTACTTTTTATTTTTTTATTTTTTGAGACGGTGTCTTGCTCTGTTGCCCAGGCTGGAGTGCAGTGGCACGATCATGGCTCACTGCAACCTCCATCTCCCAGGTTCAAGGGATTCTCCTGCCTCAACTTCCTGAGTAGCTGGAATTACAGGCATGTCCCACCATGCCTGGTTAATTTTTGTATATTTTTTAAGTGGAGACGGGGTATTACTATGTTGGCCAGACTGATCTTGAACTCTCAACCTCAAATGATCCGCCAGGCTCAGCCTCCCAAAATGGTGGGATTACGGGCATGAGCCACCGCACCCAGCCCCAGCATCAGTTAATTTTTTTTTTTCAATGACCTTAACTAATTATGTTCTAAAATTTATGTTTAGTTGTCTGGAATTTCAATTTTTTTTTTTTTTTGTGTGTGTGTGTGACGGAGTCTCACTCTGTCACCCAGGCTGGAGTGCAGTGGCGCGATCTTGGCTCACTGCAAGCTCCCCCTCCCGGGTTCATGCCATTCTCCTGCCTCAGCCTTCCGAGTAGCTGGGACTACAGGCGCCCACCACCGCCCCCGGCTAATTTTGTTTTTGTATTTTTAGTAGAGATGGGGTTTCACCGTGTTAGCCAGTATGGTCTCGATCTCCTGACTTCGTGATCCGCCCCCCTCGGCCTCCCAAAGTGCTGGGATTACAAGCGTGAGCCACCGCGCCCGGCCTGGAATTTCAAATATTTTCTAATAGAAACATTAGAATATTAATTCACTCTGAATACTGAGCACAGTGTGCAAATTGTTCTAGGAGCTTAATATTCATCAGTGAACAAATAGACATTCCTGCTTTTTATTATTATTAGCATTAATAATCTAAGATACTATATAGTGTACTTTTAATACAGATTAAACCCTCACTACTAGAAATACTACTAGTAGAAATATTACTAGTGAGGGACTAATGTGTATTAAAAGTACATTATGTGGTATCTTAGATTATTAGTGCTAATTAAAGATAGCACGATTGGGGGATCTGTTATAAGTGACATTAAGAAGGTGACATTGAAGGGCAGGAAAGTTAATTCCACAGATACCTGGATGAAGGGTGGCCTGCCCCTCCACACCTGTGGGTGTTTCTCGTCAGGTGGGACGAGAGACTGAGAAAAGAAATAAGACACAGAGACAAAGTATAGAGAAAGAACAGTGGGCCCAGGAGACCAACACTTAGCATATGGAGGACCTGCACCGGCACCAGTCTGTGAGTTCCCTCAGTATTTATTGTTTACTATTTGCACTGTCTCAGCAAGGGGAATGCGGCAGGAGAACAGGGTGATAGTGGGGAGAAGGTCAGCAAGAAAACGTGAGCAAAGGAATCTGTGTCACAAATAAGTTCAAGGGAAGGTACTATGCCTGGATGTGCACATAGGCCAGATTTATGCTTCTCTCCACCCAAGCATCTCAGTGTAGTAAAGAATAACAGAGCAGCATTGCCACCAGCATATCTCGCCTCCAGCCACAGGGTGGTTTTCTCCTATCTCAGAATAGAACAAATGTACAATCGGGTTTTATACCGAGACATTCCGTTTCCAGGGGCATGCAGGAGGCAGAGGCCTTCCTCTTACCTCAACCGCAAGAGGCCTTCCTCTTTTACTGATCCTCCTCAGCACAGACCCTTCATGGGTGTCGGGCTGGGGGACGGTCAGGTCTTTCTCGTCCCACGAGGCCATATCTCAGGCTGTCTCATTGGGGAGAAACCTTGGACAATACCCGGCTTTCCTGGGTAGAGGTCCCTGCAGCTTTCCGCAGGGCATTGTGCCCCTGGTTAATCGAGAATGGAGAATGGTGATGACTTTTACCAAGCAAACTGCCTGTAAACATGTTGTTAACAAGGCACATCCTGCACAGCCCTAGATCCCTTAAACCTTGATACCATACAACACATGTTTCTGTGAGCACAGGGTTGGGGCTAAAGTTACAGATTAACAGCATCTCAAGGCAAAACAATTGTTCAGGGTACAGATCTTTTTTTGTTTGTTTGTTTTTGTTTTTGAGATGGAGTCTCGCTCTGTCACCCAGGCTGGAGTGCAGTGGTGCAATCTTGGCTCGCTGCAACCTTCGCCTCTCGGGTTCAAGCGATTCTCTTGCCTCAGCCTCCTGAGTAGCTGGTACTACAGGCACGTGCCACCACACCTGGCTAATTTTTTGTATTTTTGGTAGAGACGGGGTTTCACCATGTCAGCCAGGATGGTCTCAATCTCCTGACCTTGTGATCCGCGCGCCTCGGCCTCCCAAAGTGCTGGGATTACAGGCGTGAGCCACCGTGCCCAGCCATGGTACAGATCAAAATGGAGTTTCTTATGTCTTCCTTTTCTACATAGACACAGTAACAGTCCGATCTCTCTTTCTTTTCCCCACATCTGGAGAAGAATATTCTGTGCAGGGAATTGCCAGTGCAAAGACCTATGTTCATCTGAAGTTTGAGGTCAATGTGACTTTGCTGTTCAGTAACTCTAGTTGGCTATCAATAGTTGTTGAAAGAATATAAAAAGCGAAGGAATGAGTTTTGGTGGGGAGGGGAAGCTATTTATCCTGAGTGTATTTAATAATGGAAACTGACTAGATTGGAATGCAGAGTTACTATAGCCTAAGTTGCTACTATAACCAGTTTGGTTAAAATGAAAAAACAGATCCATTATCTTGACTTTGGATTCAGAGTGTTAATGGTTTGACAGAAGGATATTGCCTATGACTTTGTTTTCTCAATTTCCATGACACTTTTGCTTAGAGTGCAAGTCCTCCATAATCTCTCAGCCCTCAGTTGAAGTTAACATAACAGTGGTTGGATAGCCCAGTGGAGTGCTCTAAGAAAGGCTTCTTTTCTTTCTGGAATTAAATATCCCATGATGGTATATTAAACATACCGTCTTCATTGAATATGGCATAAGAGAAAGAGATTTTTATAATCCATAACCAGTTATTAGCGCACTTCTGAATGAAGCTTGTATTCTCCACACTGAGTTCTAATTCTGTTCTTTGCCTAATTGTGATGTAGAGGGTCCTTCTATTGTTCTGTTGATTCTTCAGTTTGAATATCTTGTTGGCTTAGATAACTTTTCTGGAGTACCATCGAAACTGCACTGATATGAGGAGATGTAGTGATGATGTGGCAGGTAACATGATCACTCACTGGGAGTCTGAACACCTTTGTATAAATGTAACTGATTGGTCAATTTCCTAAGCCTGGATAATATCATAAACAACATATGCCGCTAATCAGGAAGCTTGCTGTACTTATCAGCTATTTTTAAATCCTTTAAAAATTACAAGGTTCTAGCATGGGGGCAACATAGTAAGACCATGACTTGATAAAAAATAAAATTAGCCAGGTGTGGTGGTATGCCTGTGGTTCCAGCTACTAGGGAGGTTGAGTCGGGAGGATCACTTGAGCCCAGGAGGTCAAGGCTACAGTGAGGTGTGTTTGCCCCACTGCATTCCCGCCTGGGCAACAGAGTGAGACCTTGTCTAAGGAAAAGAAAGAAAAAGAAAATTGCAAGTTTCCATTTGAATATAAGGTGATATTAGTGTATTCTGTCTTCTAATTACCATAGGAGATGGTAATTTTCATCATACTAAACTATGGAGGTATTTTGAAGTCATTGTTTACAATAACAGCTAAAAACAACCTTAAACATCTAGTACAATCTCAGAGATAAGGATAAGAGAGATGACCTGCCCAGCTCTCAACTGGCAAAATTCTAGACTAGACTTCTAGGACTAGAATTCTGTTATTATAATTTTGTTCTTATGAAACTTGGGTGGCCTCTGGTGGCCAAAATGATATCTTCTATTTTCAAGAGTGTGTTTGAAGCGAGTTTGGCCTGAGAGTTCTGTTTATACAATTAATGAAGATTTAATTATTTCTCTATATTGGTTGGTTTATACAGACACAAATCTTTACGTCTGTATTTCCCCCCCTTACAGGAAATTGTTGAAAACGTTAAATTTGATTCCTAAAAGGACTCAAGTAAGTATAGTATAGTAGTATTTAATATAGTAGTTATTGTTACATTTTTTGTGGGACACCGGTAAATTTTAATATTTCAGTATTAAACTACATACTATTTCTTTAGAACTCTTATTGTTTATTTTTCTCATTTATTACAAAACCTTATTTTTATTTACATTCTCCTTTAGTATATTAATTTACATTCATCATTTTTATCATCACTTCACATGTTATGCTTATTGAATGATTTTCAGGAACTTTAAAAACAGTTACATACTTTTGTAATACATAATAGTATATATACATTATGCAGTAAAATATTCATCCTCTGCCCAGCTACCTAGTTCTCCCCAGAGGCAATTGCTGTTGCATTCTCTTGTTACTCCCAGGAGTAGTCTGTACATATGCATATATATTCATACCTGGTCTTTTTACTGTGCTTTTCTTTGCTTAGCAGTATATCTTGGCAGTCTTTTCATATTGTTACTGGGGTTACTTTTCTTTGAAATGGTTTGCAAAAATACTCCTTTTGTATAAATATAATTGATCAATTTACAAAAGGAATACAAAATATTCCTTTTGTATAAATGTAACTGATTGGTTCAGCAATTTAATTTGTGCTATTTTGATGGATATTTTAAGTTCCTTTCAATCTTTGCTATGCAAGTGTACAAGTATACCTAGAAGTAGAATTGCCAGGTCAAAGCATATGTGTTTTTAAAATTTTAATAAATATTGCCAAATTCTTCCCAATCTGTACCAATTATACTTCCTTTTTTTTATTTTTTATTTTTTATTTTTATTTTTATTTTTTTTGAGATGGAGTCTCACTCTGTTGCCCAGGCTGGAGTGCAGTGGCACAATCTTAGCTCACTGCAAGCTCCGCCTCCCGGGTTCATGCCATTCTCCTGCCTCAGCCTCCCGAGTAGCTGGGACTACAGGCGCCCGCCACCACGCCCAGCTAATTTTTTGTATTTTTAGTAGAGACAGAGTTTCACTGTGTTAGCCAGGATGGTCTCGATCTCCTGACCTCGTGATCCGCCCACCTCGGCCTCCCAAAATGCTGGGATTACAAGCGTGAGCCGCTGCGCCCGGCCAACCTCCTTTACTAACCTATGTAAGTGTTGCTTTCCTTAATCTCATCACTGCAGTTGGATTTTTGCAGAGCTTTTGGATGAAAATAAGTATGCCATTATAGTTTTGGTTTTCATCTTCTTTATTTTGAAGGAGGTTGAACATCTTTTCAAAAGATTTTTAAGAGCCATTTGTATTTTTTTGTGAACTGTTTGCTTATATGTCTGTTTTTCTTCTGGGTATAGCTATTGACATTTTTCCCCTTTGATTTGACTTTACTTCATTGCTGTTACTATTTCTCTGTACTGTATCTTAAAAAGGATAAAATCTAACTCTTTAGACTGAAACCTTTAGTGGATTCAGTAAAGGTGGGGGAGGAGGAGTAATGTTGACAATTTACTTCCCTTTCAAGCTTCCATAGTTCTTGCACCTAAAAGACTGATTGCTTGGAATCATACATTATTAAATGAGGTCTTATTGTAGACAGAGAATTCAGTTTTATTCATGCATAATGTTAAAAGCTAATTTTTTTCTCTTGAATGTGTGTCTTGAGAAAAAGTTAATTTTTAATTTAAAGTAAGATTTCCTAGGCATCTTTGGCTAGTTAATTCATTATATTGGGTCTGTTTGTATTAGAAAATATTATAGTTGTGTTTTTGCAGAGAAAATTGGTTGCTTTGCTATAATAATATCAAGAAAAAAAGTTGCACCCTTCTTCCAGCCTTTAATTTTTCCTTAACTTAAACTAACTGAACCATTAGAATTCTATAGCTGTTCTGTACTGTCAAAATGGAGTAGCTATCTGTTTGCCCCTCCCTTAGTATTACATTATAAGGAGCCACCAAAAATCTTTTGACATTAAGTCTTTTTTGAAATGTGTTTCTTCTTCACATATCTGTGCCCTACTTTCTGTGTACTGAAAGGTACTAACTTACTACCTGGACCATTTTCATTTTTTGCTCATGGTGGTTCTTCTGTACATCAGGATGGTTCACAGTTCTTGGCTTAGAACCTGCTTCATGATTGCTTCACTTTCTCCTGGTTCTTCTCTGTTAACCATTTGTCATCCACTCCAGAAGTTGTGAAGCTACTGCCTGCAAGCGCTAGCCTGTTTTTGTAAATCCAGTTTACACACTTATACATTTATGTGTATTGTCTATGGGTGGAGATGTGAGTAGTTGTAAAAGAGATCTGTGACCTACAAGGCCGAAAATATTTGTCTGATCTTTTGAAGAAAAATTTGCCAACTTCTGATTTATAGTATTGCCATTTCATATAAATGGTCTCTTTTCCCCTACCCTATTCTCATTTTCTCTTGTTTGCCTTGTTTACCTTGTCTTTTGTCTGTTCAGTTTCTATTTTCATCTCTTCTTGTGGCTATATACCCTTGAATTCTTTAACACCATATTCACCTTCCTCAAAGTAGGAAGCATTTATGAAAAGAATACACCGTCCCACCCCCCCCTTCTCTGAATCCCAAACCTGAAAAATGTTGACAGAACTTTTAATTTCACATTTTGTGAGGTGGCTTTTGCATTAAAATAAATTTATAGCGTTAAAAAAATCAGGAGTGGTTTCTTTCAGGGATTGTTGAGTGTGTTTTTGCAGGATTGTTCTTTTAACACTTTTTTCAGTTAAAAACACATTATTTAACATAGAGAGAGTAGATATATATTAAATGAAGACTGTAGAAAAGCAAAAAACTAATGTTATTTATACGAACTATTCACCAGGAAATAGGAATAACTTTGCCGATCAGCCATTTAAACGATTCATTAAAAAATGAATCGTTTCTGTTTTTTGCTGTAGGAGAATGAAGAAGTATTTGTGGTCTGAAGTGTGCCACCAATTTCCTCCCATAATTGATGGCAACAATCTCTTTGAAGCTTTAAATAGTCTTGCCTAAGAAGGAAGATAGGGCTTTCCGTGTTTTTTTTTTTTTTTTTTTAAAGAAAATCTCAAAATTGTTTGGAAGAAACATTCTTTCTTTTGGTCACTTTCATTTTTTTTTTTTCTCTTAAGATCTCTGGAAAATATTTGTGTTGGAAAGTAATCATTTACTCCTTCCTTACCTTTTCTGTTACTTCCTAGTATAAAATCCATAATTCTTTTTTTTTTCTTTAGTGGCTTACAGAAGAGACGAAATGTGGTCTGAGGGACGATATGAATATGAAAGAATTCCGAGAGAACGAGCACCTCCTCGAAGTCATCCCAGTGTAAGTTACTCCTACATATTGAATGATTCAAAAACCTGGTGTCTGAATTAATTTGATACACCAAAGCTAGGCCTATTAACAAAATCTTCAAGTGTCAGAAATTTACCAGTGTAGTTTACAAAAGAGATCAAGCTTATCTTTTAAAAGTTAAAAGTTCAAAAATAAAAGACAACATTTTATTTAAGTAGAAAACTTATTATTTATATTTCTTGTTTAAATTTCTAAAATGAAGGGTTTATATTGAATTTAATTTGTGAACAAAATTACAGATTTTATAAAGATTATACCATCAGTTAGCAAAGAAGTATTTGAGTACCTGCTCCTGCTGTTATTGGCTGTTAC
This sequence comes from Homo sapiens, assembly GCF_000001405.40. Classification (NCBI taxonomy): domain Eukaryota; kingdom Metazoa; phylum Chordata; class Mammalia; order Primates; family Hominidae; genus Homo; species Homo sapiens. Next base: position 42,336,317 of record NC_000012.12, read on the forward strand.
CTATTTTTTTCTATATTCCTAAAAATGTTACAAATTGAATATATGAAATTCTAAAAGTAGGCTTTCATTCTAAGAGAGGAGAACTCTTCCTAGAGTGGAAACATGTTAATATCCCTTGTTAGGATTCCTGCAGGTGTGCTGTCCTGTGGTCAGGCAGTCTGACTGGTAAGTAAGAATGCCTGGAGGCTCAGGGTCAGGCAGACAGGCAGCTTCTGGTGTGCTGTCCTACTTCTTGTCTCTCGTTGCTCTGGGAATTGGGAATTTTGAGCCAAGCCTTTTCTAAGCCCAAAGAACTTACTGTTTTGTTTACTATTTCCAGTGCTACATCTAGTACTTAGCAGGTAATAGAAGCTCAATATTTATTTGAGTGAATATGTGTACTGACTCCCCAGAATTCCCTGTGGAGGTCTAAAGGAGGGTTTGGGGAAGGTTAAAAAGCTAACTTAAACTTTTGCACAGACCCATTCTAAGCACCAAGGGACTAAGGTTGTGGTGATAGTATATGAATATATTATAGATTCATTATATACCATCAAAAGCCACAAATATTTATGTCTACGTTAGTTATTTTTTACTTATGTAACATTTAATCCTATAGCCCACTTAGATGGGTGGTATCGTCTTTAGGTTTGTCGTTGTCCTAGATTACAATCCAGGTTGGGGTTGATTTAAAATGATTTAAGATGGAAAAAATAAAGATGCCCATTATACTTCAGGATGGCCAGACTTAATTATTACTATATGTCATTTATTTCCAGGTGAATTTGTAGACTTCATGTTTTCAATCAAAATCCCAATGTTTTTATTTATATTTTTTACTTGATAAGGTTATTCTGTAGTTTACCTGTAGGGAAAAGGGATGACTTTTTTCTTTATCTCCCCTCTCCCCTCTGCCACTCTGCCAAGGATATATCCCATTAGGAATTGTTCTGTTTTTTTTTTTCTTTTTTCTTTTTTTTTTTTTGAGATGGAGTTTCACTCTTGTCACCTCAGCTGGAGTGCAATGGCGCAGTCTTGGCTCATTCACTCTTGTCGCCCAGGCTGGAGTGCAGTGGTGCAGTCTCGGCTCACTGGGTTCAAGCGATTCTTCTGTCTCAGCTTCCTGAGTAGCTGGGATTACAGGTGCCCACCACCACACCTGGTTAATTTTTGTATTTTTAGTAGAGATGGGGTTTCACCATGTTGACCAGGCTGGTCTCGAACTCCTGACCTCAGGTGGCCTGCCCACCTTGGTCTCCCAAAGTTCTGGGATTACAGGCATAAGCCACCATGCCTGGCCTCTTTTCTTTTTTTTGAGGCAGTCTTACTCTGTAGCCCAGGCTGGAGTGCAGTGGTGCGATCTTGGCTCACTACGTCCTCTACTTCCCGGGTTCAAGCGATTCTTGTGCCTCAGCCTCCTGAGTAGCTAGGATTGCATGCCACCATACCTGGCTATTTTTATTTTATTTTATTTTATTTTATTTTATTTATTTATTTATTTATTTGGAGATGGAGTCTAACTCTCTTGCCCAGGCTGGAGTGCAGCGGTACAATCTTGGCTCACTGCAACCTCTGTGTCCTGGATTCAAGCGATTCTCCTGCCTCAGCCTCCTGAGTAGCTGGGACTACAGGCACAAGCCACCACGCCTGGCTAATTTTTATATTTTTAGTAGAGACGGGGTTTCACCGTGTTGGCCAGGCCGGTCTCGAATTCCTGACCTCAAGTGATCCACCCCCCTCAGCCTCCCAAAGTGCTGGGATTACAGGCATGAGCCACTGCCACTGCACCCGCATCTAATTTTTGTATTTTTAGTAGGGACAGGGTTTTGCCGTGTTGGCCAGGCTGGTCTCGAACTCCTGGCCTGAAGTGATCTGTCCACCTTGGCCTCTCAAAGTGCTGGGATTACACGCGTCAGCCACCACTCCAGGCCCCATTAGGAGTTTTAAATTCTGTGTTTTGAAGATACTTAAAAGGGTTTTCTGTGTGGTTATGCCATCAACTGGGCACCAGTCTGTAGGATTGTGTGCTTTATTACTTTGGGACTGGGGAAAGCAGGTTATTGTATCGATTTAAGATTGTAAGATGAGTAGTGGATCCAGGGGATAAGGATGTTGAAGGTGCTGACCCAGAAAATTATTGAAGTAATACACCATTTGGTGTTGGCTGATAAAGAAAGAGAGTGAGGCTGAGAGGGACAGGAAATTGAAAGAATGAGTGGTTGAGGGACAGGAAAGGCTTAGGAAAGGCTTTGGTATGGTAGAAAGATAGGCAATCGGTATTTTAGAGTGTGGGGTTTCCAAGATGGAACAGTTTTGAGTGAAGTTCAGTGTGTGACAATGAGAATAGAGAGCTAGTGTAAGTTACTGGAGTTGAGAGCAATGAAACTATTAGGATAGACTTTAGATTTGTGATTTAGATCAGAAGCTCTCAATCCTTGTTGTACGTTAAAATTTCCTAGAGAGCTCTTTAGTAACACTGTATGGGCCCCGTCTTAGATAATTAAATTATTGTCTCTTTGGGTGTGATGTGGACCTCAGTATTGTTTAAAAGTTCAAGTGATTCTTACATGCAGAATTTAAAAAATACAGATGTATTTGAATTGAAGTCATAGTGACAGGAGTTGAGGTAAAAATGACAGGTGATGGAAGTCTTTAATGAATCAGCATATTGCGGAAAAATCTAAACAAAACCATTTTCATTTAATATTATCTGTGTTTGTGTAAATATGAAACAGAGGCTTCTTATCCCTCATAAAATAATTTTATCAGAAGCAAGCAGGTAGGGAGATATTGTCCTTAAAATCAGACTAGATGTATTCAGCTGTCTCTTAAATGCCTAAAGGTAAACCTTACTTCCTTAAGTTAACTGGCTGCTTGGTTCCTCATGGAGGAGCCTAGATTGTTTTTCTCTTTTTGAGAGCACAGGACCTGACCAGACCTTGTACAGGTTCATTTCTCTCCTTTTTCTTCAATTCCATTAGATTGGTCTTTCTGTTCCCCCAATCAGCCTCTCCTAGTTTATACAAATCCTTCTTTCTGTATATCCATATCCCTCCTTCCCAAGACTCAGGTGCATTTTTTTTTTCTGGTGCACTTGGCCTTATTTTGGTTAGTAATTTAAAGCCTTCTCTTTCCCTCAATACATTGTACCCCTTAGATGGCTCTTGAAAATTATCCCCTGTGCCTTCTGTGTTACACCTGCATCTTAGTTAAATAAAGTGTAGATTCTTAACCTTTTTTTGTGCGATGGATCCCTTTAGCTGTCTGGTGAAGCCTATGGATCCCTTCTCAGAATAACATTTTTAAACCTATAAATAAAATGCACAGAACTAAGTGCACTTACATTTGAGAATGATTATCAAGCTATTAAAAACCAAATTTGTGATACAGTAATACATAGTTCTTTAGTAGGTCATTAAATATCAAAAGCTACTGGTGGTGGTTTCATTGCTGTAATTTCAAAGTAGTGATGAGTGTTACAAATGATATTTTGCAATACCTGTAACAGCTAGATGTAACATGGTATAAAATTATCTGTGATCTCTTTTGGTAACAAAGTCACAGATACATCTGCTGTTGTTATTATCTAAAGTTAGTTGAAAAAAGTAATTTTGTGTTCACATCTCATTTAATGGACCCACTGAATCTTTGGGTTAAAGTAATTGAACTAGAAATGTAAATAGTTATACTTTCTTACTTTAATAAAAATATAACTTATTAAAAGCTTAAGGCTGAATACAGTGGCTCTTGCCTATAATCTGAGCACTTTGGGAGTCCGAGGTAGGAGGATCACTTGAGCCCAGGAGTTTGAGACCAGCCTGGGCAACAATGTGAGACCCTGTCTCTACAAAAAATTTTAAAAATTAGCCATGCATAGTAGCGCATGCCTGTAGTCCCACCTACATTGGGAAGCTGAGGCAGGAGGATTGCTTGAGCCCAGGAAGTTGAGGCTGCAGTGAGCTGTGTTTTGTGCCACTGCGTTGAAGCCTGGGCAACAGAGGGAGAGATCCTGTCTCAAAAAAAAAAAAAAAAAAGATTTAAAAATATTTGCTTAGATAATCTAGTTATTTTAAAAACCATATTAGCATATCATATTGATGTATATGAGAAAGTTCATAAGAAGCATTATTTGTAAGAGCTTCAAACTGACAACAAACCAGATGTCCAACAGTGAAGTTGATTGTTTAAATTATACACCAATGAGAATCAATGGGCTACTGCCAAGTGCAACAACATGGATAAACTTCACAAATATAATATTAAAAGAAAGAAGTCAGTCACAAGAGTTTATTCTGCGTGTTTCATTTTATGTAACATTCCAAAACAAGTGAAACTAGCTGGGAAAGTGGTTTCTTTTGGGAAGAGGCAGTAGTGACTGGGAGACCGCACAATGAACGATTTTGCTGCGCTGGGAATATTCTCTTTCTTAATCTGGGTGGTACTTACACCTTGTGAAATTTATCCATTTGTGATTTGTACACTTTTTTATATGTATGGCATACCTCAAAAGTTTTGAAAAGGCAGATTTTTTTTGCAAAATATAAAACTAGTTAAGTTGATAACCCACTATCGTTAGTGCTTGGAATAGAGGAAGGTAACATTCTATTTTGTTTTATGTATTTGAATCCTGTTCTTTATCAAAAAACAATTTTACAGAATTTCTCTCCCTTTTTTTCTTTCTTTCTTTCTTTTTTTTTTTTTTTGAGATGGAGTTTTGCTCTGTCGCCCAGGTTGGAGTGCAGTGGCATGATCTCAGCTCACTGCAACCTCTGCCTCCCAGGTTCAAGCGATTCTTGTGCCTCAGCCTCCCTGAATAGCTGGGATTACAGGCGCCTACCACCACGCTTGGCTATTTTTTGTATTTTTTAGTAGAGGTGGGGTTTTGCCATGTTGACCAGGCTGGTTTCAAACTCCTGACCTCAGGTGATCCGCCTCGGCCTCCCAAAGTGCTGGGATTACAGGCGTGAGCCATCGTGCCCGGCTTCTCCGTTTTTTCTTAGTACACTCTTTGCCCCATTTATGATCAATTCTGATACAAAATAAATGTATTTGAGGAACTACTAGATGTGATATAAAGTGCAACGTGAAGTGGTGACTGTTGGGAAGGTAAGGTACCTTCTGTAGTAGTATGACCTCGTTAATAAAAGCAGCTGTTTTCTGAGTTTCTAGCCTTGATAAACCTGAAAAGACAATTGAACACTAATATACTTTGGTTTTGATGTTAAATTATACTTAATTTGAGTTTTGGCAAACTTATCCTCAATATACAGCTTAACAAATGTACCAGTCATTATTTTAGCACTTTATGGTATGCTTTTAAATTATTATTATTATTATTATTTTTTGAGGCGGAGTCTGGCTCTATCGCCCAGGCTGGAGTGCAGCGGGCGATCTCGGCTCACTGCAAGCTCCGCCTCCCGGGTTCACGCCATTCTTCTGCCTCAGCCTCCCGAGTAGCTGGGACTATAGGCACCTGCCACCACGCCCGGCTAATTTTTTGTATTTTTGGTAGAGACGGGGTTTCACCGTGTTAGCCAGGATGGTCTCGATCTCCTGACCTCGTGATCCGCCTGCCTTGGCCTCCCAAAGTGCTAGGATTATAGGTGTGAGCCATCGCGCCCAGGCGCTTTTAAATTCTTTATGTATAAATAGTAAGTCACTTTTATAAGGGGCTTTCACAGAAATTTTTATTTGGCCTTAAACTTGGGTAGGTAGGTAGCAGACTAAAGTTCAAAGAAGTGCACTACAGAGATTTTGTATGTAAATATATATGCTTCTTCTATAGGAAGGAAATCAGTCACCACAGAATATCTACACTTCTAGGTACCTGTAAAGCTCTTGTTTTTAAAGCATGCTTTCTGTCTTTAAACCTATAATTTCTATGAGCTTAGTTATCTGATTTCTTAACCTTTATCAAGTTTTGTGACAGAATGGCATTCATTCATTCATTCATTCATTCATTCGTTCATATGTACATACACACAGGGTCTTGCTATGTCATCCAGCTGAAGTGCAGTGGAGCAGCCACAGCTCACTGCAGCCTCAGACCCCTGGGCTCAAGTGATCCTCTCACCTTGGCCTCCCAGATCGTTGGGATTACAGGCATGAGGCACCATGCCCAGCCCAGAATGGCTTTTAAATACATGTAAACTTCCACTTATGGGGTTCCAGCTTCTTAGCCTGTTGGAGAACAGTTAGGTAATATGGAACATTTTAATGAAGCTGCAACATAAAATGTCGATTTTTTCATTAGCTTATTTGAAAATGGGAGAGAAGTTCCAGTTTCAGAATTTTTAAAAGTTGTAATGTTTGGAAATTAGGATCAGAGCACTAGCAGTTTATATTCTGGGCAATTACAACAGAGCTGGGGCTGAAGCAGTCCTATCTGCTTATCCCTGCTTCATTTTTCTGTTTCTTTAACAAATACATTATTTTGCATTAAAAGATTTTTCTGGTTTTGGCAGCAGCAGGGAGAACAATATTGACTAGTAGTGATGTCAAGAACAGCAACACGTTATTTTTCTGTCACATTTGTGGTAAATATGAGTTACATAATTAGTTTTTGTAATTAAGTAGTTAAATAACAATATTTACTTCCTTAGATTAATTGAATCTTTTTTATAATTCTTGTCATTGTTTATTTCTCTCTCCTAGAGAGTTTGGCCAATCAAAAATAAATCCTTTAGTAAATCCAGAACATGATTTTGTTAATATCTGAGCCTTTATAGGGAATAGATGGGATGCATATCAGTTCCACCTGTTCTCAAATGTAAATGTACTCAAACCATAATCCAGACATTTTTCTTTTGACTAACTTGACAGTCAGGTCTACTTAATTTAGTAATTCAGTTATATACATATTCCATATAACATTGTTTAAAATGTATTAATGTTGAAATATTTTTTCTTTCCATTCTTATTTCATGAAACACTTTTATTCAAAATCTTCACAGGCATATTTAAATTTCTGTTCTTTTTATGCCCCACATATTATTATTGTTTTATACAGTCATCAGTGTTCATGTAAATTTTCCCATGTAAGTACAACTTCCCAATATTTTATTATGGAATTTTTCAAACATACATCAGTCAAAAGAATTTTTATAGTGACCATCCATATACTCCCCATTTAGACTCAACTATTAACATTTTACTAAACTTGCTTTATCATGTATTTATTCATGCAATTAATCCATCTATGTTTTTGAATACATTTCAAAGTAAATTGTGGACAACAGTATCCTTCCCGTTAACTACTCAAGCATATGTATTATTAGCTAGAGTGCAATTTTTTAATAGTTTTTTTTAATGGGAAAATTACATACATGAAATGTAAAAAAAGTGTTTCTTTGCTGAGTTTGATTTAGTAATGTTCCCTTCTGTAGAGTTGCCCTAAGAGGTGTTTTACTTTCTTTGCTGACAGAATTGCAAGGACTTAACTTTCTTTTTGTTGTCACTGTTTTCAGAAGAAATGTGATCAATTCTTGGCTACATTCTCGAATAAGATGCCTTAGCTCTCTGGGTCGATACCAGTTTTTATGTTTTTGACACACTGTCACCAAAAGACGTTGGAATGACTCAGAAACACCAATATTTCATTCAAGAATCAGTGAGTGAAATAAATCAACAAGTGCTAAAATAAGAATGTATGTCATAGACTATAGGGATCAGAGTTAGGAAATTACAAGCTTATGAAAGCAAAAGCCTACCAGCCTGTGTAATAGAATATTTTAGTTAGGTGTGGTTTGTATGGTACTTTTCTGTAAAAAGCATGTGATGCCAGAAGTAAAATAAAATTGAGATAGCAGGGTATAATATATATATTATGGATGTGGTGCTTACTGTGTGCCAGGTGCTGTTCTAGGTGCTGGGAATAGAGCAGTAAATAAGACCAATAAAGGTTTTGTAGGCTTACATTTGCATTGTAAGTTGATTGTGATAGGACATAATGGCATTGATTATTTACATATGCCATCGTATTTACTTCTTTGGTAGGTTAGTGTGTTTTCGTTGTTATTTGATGTTTTATAAGGGGAAATATCAAGCATATAATAACACACATTAATGTGATCAACTCCCAAAGGAGAAATCGACTATCAGCTTCATTGCCAATCTTGTTTTGTCTATGCTTCTACCACTTTCTTCCCTCCTAGATTATTTTGAAGTAAAACCATGATATCACACTTAAAATGTCAATAAGTATTTCAATATGTGTTGCTAGAAGATAAAAATGTTTGGGGGGGATGGGCTTAATACTTTTACTTTTATATTAATACTTTCATTTTAAATTAAATGATTTTATGTGAAAATGAGTAAATTTTAATGACATATTGGAAAAGAAATATTTTTAAAGAAACATGGTAATTCATACAATTTTTACCTAGTTACTTATGAGATTTAACAACAGTGTGGATTTTTTTTTTTTTTTTTTGAGACAGAGTCTTGCTCTGTTGCCCAGGCTGGAGTGCAGTGGCATAATCTCGGCTCACTGCAACCTCTGCCTCCCAGGCTCAAGCAGTTTTTGTGCCTCAGCCTCCCATATAGCTGGGATTATAGATGTGTGCCACTAAACCTGGCTAATTTTGTGTATTTTTAGTAGAGATGGGGTTTCACCATGTTAGCCAGGCTGGTCTCGAATTCCTGGCCTCAAACTGATCTGCCCCCCTCAGCCTCCCAAAGTGTTGGGATTACAGGTGTGAGCTACCGTGCCCAGCCAGTGTGAAAAATTTGATACAGATTTTTATATTGAATCAAATAACCATCAACTTGGTGCTTTTACTTACTAAAATGAAAGCATTTCCTGTAACCGATAGGTATATTGGAATGTATGGCAAATTAAGAAGTAGCTGATTATTTTCTAACAAAACCATTTCACCAGTTGGAAAACTAGGTATTTTATTCTGACCAGATTCTCATTAACGTAAGCAAACCAAAGAATTCTTATTACACACACTTAGAGGGTCTTGTAGTAGTAATCTTAGGGGTGAGACCTCATCCCTAAGATGATGACAGATTTGAAAGTTTAAATTTCATTGAAGTATAACTTTCCAAAAGTATTTAAGTTTATGTGCAAGTTTTTTTTTTAATACCCTGCCAGAGTAGGTAAATTATCATTAGATAGACCTTTCATTTTAAATGAGCTACATATACTTTTTATTTTTGGTCTGACTGATCATACCATTAATACTAACACCATTAATACTAACTTTGGAGTAGCAAATCCAATAAATTCTATGCATATTTTTTGGAAATTCTAGTAACATCCACAGAAAATTCTGATCTTTTTAATAAGGATACTTATATAATCATTAATATGTAGATATATATTAATATTTATATTAGTATGTAGATATTTTTAATAAATAGAAGCAGTGAAAATTGATATCATTGATTGAGTAAATTGAGATTTTATATTTAAATTCAAGATTTGAAATATCTGCATTTGAAATAATAGAAATGTTTCAACTCCAATGAGTTTATTTTTTGATTACTTGAAAATGACCCTGTTAACCTTTTAAGATAGTCTTTACAAGTCATAATTTTTTTTTCTGGTTTGTATATTATGGTGCCATTGTTTTTCAAGGTATTTTCCTCTTTTTTCTTTCCATTTTTTATTTTTGTTTACTTATTTTTAACATTAAATTTTATTGTGTATATTTGAGATTCACAACATGATGTTATGGGATACATATAGATGCAGGTACACATGGATGCATATTCATAGTACAGTGGTTACTGTAGTGAAGGAGACAAACATATTCATCATCCCACATAGTTACCTTTTTGTGTGATAAGAACACCTAAAATTTGTATATTTCACAAAAATTTCTAATGCAATACAATTTTATTAATTTTGGTCCTCATATTGTACATTAGATCTCTAGACTTATTCATCTTACTTACCTATTTTGTATTCCTTGACTTACCATTCCCCATTTCTTCCCCTACCCGTGGTAACCAGTTTCATCCTCTATCTCTGTGTATTTGAGCTCTTTTTTGTTTTTTTTAAATTCCACATATAAATGATTATCATGCAATATTTTTTTGTGTGTGTATCTAGCTTATTTCACTTAGCATAATGTCCTTCGGGTATATCCATGTGTTGTAAATAGCAGTATCTCCCTCTTTTTATAAGGATGAATAATATTCCACTAATATATTTATATACCAGATTTTCTTGATCCATTTGTTCATCCATAGGAACTTAAGTTGTTTCTAAATTTGGCAATTGTGAATAATGCTGCAGTGAACATGGAAGTGTGAATATCTTGAACAGGTGGTGATTTCATCGCCTTTGGGTATACAGTATACCCAGAAGAGGGATTACTAGGTCATGTGGTAGTTTTATTTTTACTTTCTCTAGGAATTTCCATACTGTTTTCCATAATGGCTGTACCAGTCTACATTCCCACCAACAATGTATTAGGGTTCTCTTTCTCTCATACCCTCACCAACATTTGTAATCTCTTGTCTTTCTGACCATAGCCATCCTTAAGGGTGTGAGGGGATATCTCATAGTGGTTTTAATTTGCATTTTCCCTGTGGTTAGTGATGTCAAGCACCTTTTCATATAACTGTTGACCTTTTTTTAAAAAAATTATTATTACTTGGAGATGGCATCTCACTCTGTTTTCCCAGGCTGGAGTGCAGTCACCAGTCAGCTCACTGCAGCCTTGAACTCCTAGGCTCAAGGGATCCTCTCACCTTAGCCTCCCAAGTATCTGCGATTACAGGTGTGAGCAGCTGCACCCAGCTGGCCTTTTTGTTTGTTTGTTTCTTTTCAACTAGCATCCTGGTGTAGTCAACATAGAGGTGGCATGAACCAGGCCAGAATGCCAATCAGCTATTGGCTACTGTTCTCCCAGAAGTGTAATGCTTGCCTAGGTACAAGGCAACCTAGAAAGCTGCCTACAGCTGGGGAGCTGGCCATTTTTATGTCTTCTTTGGAGAAATGCCTGTTTATGGTCTTTGTCCATTTTTAAATTGACTTTTTGCCAATATCTTTCTAAAATGGAGGTTCCGAACATTTCAGTAGTACCTTAAGTCTGTGTACCTATGTTAGCATACAGAAAGGAAAATTACATGTTTACAGCTTAATGTAAGATTTGCATAAGAATTTCAGTGTTATTATTTGTATTCATGTCTGGCAATGCAGGTAATAAAAATACTGTTTGAATTTCAACAATATAATCTTTTTGAAAGGGGCGGGCGCAGTGGCTCATGCCTGTAATCCCAGCACTTTGGGAGGCGTAGGCAGGTGGATTACCTGAGGTCAGGAATTCGAGACCAGCCTGACCAGTACGGTGAAATCCTGTCTCTACTAAAAATACAAAAATTAGCTGGGCATGGTGGCATGCACCTGTAATCCCAACTACTCGGGAGGCTGAGGCAGGAGAATCATTTGAACCTAGGAGGTGTAGGTTGCAGTGAGCTGAGATTGCACCACCGCACTGTAGCCTGTGCCGCAGAGTGAGACTCCATCTCAAAGAATTTGAAAGGGAAATTCTGAATTCTTTGCCACTCATCATAGATTTTATTGGGAACAGAAATCCTTGAATGATATACCTGGATAAGACACGAACGCTTTAAAAATACAGTCCTCTTTGCTACAGGCTCCTGCAGTCATCTTTGTTTCCTTAAATCTTTTCATATAGCTAGGGAGTTTTCTTTAAGATCAGGTATCTACAGAGCAGAGATAGTATAATGTACATATATTTGAACACTTTCTCGAAATACCAACTTGGTCTTTATAGCCAGGTATAAGAGCTGTCATTGAATTTTTGTTTTCTTTTGCTGATTAAACAGCTTTTATTTTTATTTTATTTATTTTTTTGAGATGGAGTCTTGCTCTGTTGCCCCAGCTGGAGTGCAGTGGTGCGAGCTCAGCTCACTGCAGCCTCTACCTCCTGGGTTCAAGCGATTCTCCTACCTCAGCCTCCTGAGTAGCTGGCACTACAGGCATGCACACCTCACCTGGCTAATTTTTTTTTTTTTTTTTTTTTTTTTAGTAGAAACGGGGTTTCACCGTGTTGGCCAGGCTGGTCTCAATCTCCTAACCTCAAGTGCTCCACCTGCCTTGACCTCCCAAAGTGCTAGGATTACAGGCATGAGCCACCATGCCCGGCCTTAAACAACTTAAAGAATGATTGTTTTCATTTACCTCAGTTGGTAAAGCAATTTTTCTAAATAAGTAACTAAGTGTGATTTGAATTTTACTTCTGCCAAAGTTTTACCAAATACATTTTACAATCCCCAGATAACTTTCTAATAACTGGGGCAGTTGAACAAAGGAACAGAGTGCTTTGTAAAATAATAAGCTCTCTATTCATAGAAGTGTTTAGGCATGCATAGTCACCCCACCATCCCTCCAAATAATCGTATACAAACAAACAAGGATATTGTGTAATGGATTGTTATGGTTTATTGGAATTTGGAGAAGTCAGTTATTCTGATTTTATGAGTGACAAATTTTCAATTAGAAATGATGTAAATTGTAATTTTACTAATTTTGGCTTAATGTCAGTTTTTTTTTTGGGCAGCTTAGTACTTAAATTTAATTGAAATCTCTGTGAAAGGTAGTTTGTAGAAGAATGAGTCAGTATATTCATTTGTGTATCATATTTTATGTAAATGTAGAATATATCTTATAATTTAATATCTAACATACTAAAGGAGGTAACCACCTTACATCCCCATGGGAAAAATTAGTTAGATCTTTTAAGCTCTCAAATAAATACAAACTACTGATTTTATTTTTTCCTGACCCATTGACAAATTTCCTAGCTATTGAGAGATTTGAATAGTATATAGTCATTTAATAACAATTGAATTGTTGTAGTCATTAGGGCTAAGAAGTAATTTAAGGAAACAGTTTGAGATACTTAGTATTTTTTTCCGTAGATTTGCACAGTAGTAATGAATATAGCAAACATTTTTTGAGCACTTAGTGTGTGCCTGAACACGGTACTAAACACTTTGCATTCCATTTCTCATTTAGTCCTCACAGTGCCATGAGGTAGGTGTTAGTATTAATTTCATTTTACAGGCTCAGGGATGATAGATAAACAGCTCTGAAGGTTGGGCTTTATATTTTGTAAGTTTTGTTTTGTTTTTTAAATTTTTTTAGTATTTATTGATCATTCTTGGGTGTTTCTCGGAGAGGGGGATTTGGCAGGGTCATAGGACAATAGTGGAGAGAAGGTCAGCAGATAAACATGTGAACAAAGGTCTCTGGTTTTCCTAGGCAGAGGACCCTGCGGCCTTCCGCAGTGTTTGTGTCCCTGGGTACTTGAGATTAGGGAGTGGTGATGACTCTTAACGAGCATGCTGCCTTCAGGCATCTGTTTAACAAAGCACATCTTGCACCGCCCTTAATCCATTTAACCCTGAGTTGACACAGCACATGTTTCAGAGAGCACGGGGTTGGGGGTAAGGTTATAGATTAACAGCATCCCAAGGCAGAAGAATTTTTCTTAGTACAGAACAAAATGGAGTCTCCTACGTCTACTTCTTTCTACACAGACACAGTCACAATCTGATCTCTCTTTCTTTTCCCCACATTTCCCCCTTTTCTATTTGACAAAACCGCCATCGTCATCATGGCCCGTCCTCAGTGAGCTGTTGGGTACACCTCCCAGACGGGGTGGTGGCCCGGCAGAGGGGCTCCTCACTTCCCAGACGTGGTGGCGGGGCAGAGGGGGCCCTCCCACCCCCCAGAGGGGGTGGCCGGGCAGAGGCGCCCCCCACCTCCCAGACAGGGCGGCTGCCGGGCGGGGGCGCCCCCCACCTCCCAGACGGGGCGGCTGCCGGGCGGGGGCGCCCCCCACCTCCCAGACGGGGCGGCTGCCGGGCGGGGGCGCCCCTCACCTCCCAGACCGGGCGGCTGGGGGAGGCGCCCCTCACCTCCCAGACGGGGTGGTCGCCGGGCAGAGGCGCTCCTCACCTCCCAGACGGGGTGGTGGCCGGGCAGAGGTGCTCCCCACATCCCAGACGATGGGCGGCCGGGCAGAGACGCTCCTCACTTCCTAGACGGGCTGACCGCCAGGAAGAGGCGCTCCTCACTTCCCAGACTGGGCGGCCAGGCAGAGGGGCTCCTCACATCCCAGACGATGGGCGGCCGGGCAGAGACGCTTCTCACTTCCTAGATGGGATGGCAGCCAGGAAGAGGCGCTCCTCACTTCCCAGAGTGGGCGACTGGGCAGAGGGGCTCCTCACATCCCAGAAGATGGGCGGCCAGGCAGAGACGCTCCTCACTTCCTAGACGGGGTGGTGGCCGGGCAGAGGCTGCAATCTCAGCACTTTGGGAGGCCAAGGCAGGCGGCTGGGAGGTGGAGGTTGTAGCGAGCGGAGATCACGCCACTGCACTCCAGCCTGGGCAACATTGAGCATTGAGTGAGCGAGACTCTGTCTGCGATCCCGGCACCTCGGGAGGCTGAGGCGGGCAGATCACTCGAGGTCAGGAGCTGGAGACCAGCCCGGCCAACACGGCGAAACCCCATCTCCACCAAAAAATACAAAAACCAGTCAGGCATGGCGGCGCGCGCCTGCAATCCCAGGCACTCGGCAGGCTGAGGCAGGAGAATCAGGCAGGGAGAGGTTGCAGTGAGCCGAGATCGCGGCAGTACAGTCCAGCCTCGGCAACAGAGGGAGACCCTGGAAAGCAGGAGACGGAGAGGAGGGAGAGGGGGAGACCATGGCAAGCGGGAGAGGGAGAGGGGGAGGGGAAGAGGGAGAGGGTTTTGTTTTTTTCCAGATTAGTTAATTCATATTGATCTTATGTTATATCAGGCTTTACAGTTTTTTTTTAACATATATCTCATTTGATATTGATTGATGTGTCATGAATGCCCAAGACCAGATTATGTACAGATATATGTTCTGTAGCTCTCTACTTCTTTCTGTGGATAATCGTTTTTGTTATTTTATAGCAGCTACTAACCTAAGACATATGTTCTCCCTGCGTCCAATTCCCCAAGTCTCACAAAAAACCTACTCATTTTTTAAAACATTAACAAGGTATTCCAGTACTTTGAAAATTAGTTCAAATTTTATATCAGCTTTTATTTTGCTTCTAGACCTGTAAAGCCAATCTCCTCCCTCCATTACTGCTGGAAAAATAGCAAAATGTTTCCTTTTGATCATTCTGGCTCAATATCATCATTAGCTGTTGCTTGTGGGTAAATAGCTTATATTTCTTCTAAATAGTATAGTAGAACAAATATGAGAGCTGTCTTACATAATTTTATTTCTAAAATTGTTAGGCAATTAGGGATAGAGCTACTGTAACATTCTGTCTTAAGTTTATTTTTTACTAAAATGATAATATTGTATTTTTTCTTTTACTTATGATTGGTTTTCGCATTGCTGCATGTCATTTTGAACACCTGGCTTTCTTCGTTGAACAACTTGATTTCCTTTAATCCATGTGAAGACCTTAGTATTAGTTATATTTATGTTATTTCATTAACGCTTTTGTTTATACATTTAGCTCATTCGATTAAGGGTAAGAACTCCTGTGCTTTTTAAAAACCTTTCCAAAACCAAATAGAGAAATTAGTCATTTGTATATATTTCTTTTTGTCTGTTTTAGGATGGCTACAATAGACTAGTTAATATTGTGCCAAAGAAACCACCACTGCTAGACAGACCTGGTGAAGGAAGCTACAATAGATATTACAGTCATGTTGATTACCGAGACTATGACGAGGGCCGCAGTTTTTCTCATGATCGAAGAAGTGGTCCACCTCACAGAGGAGTATGTAAATTTCCCCCATGTACTAATTGTTATTTCTTATAAGTTTAAAATTAATGTAATTTAAAAATTTATGTGACGGCCGTGAAAGCAGTTGAATAAACACTTTCTGCTTGATGCTCTCATGTGAATTGCCTGCTGGAGCTGTCAGATGGGACCTAATAGTCAAGAATCTTGGGGTACTGGACAAAGTAGGTAAGCACTCTGGGTGGCACTATCTAAATGAAATTAATTCCAACCAGCCTGCTTTTTTTATTCCCCTAAATTGGCAGGGATTTGCAAAACCATTTAAAGGTAATCTGTTGTCTTAGTACTTAATAAGTGATGAGCAGGTGGTTACCATTTCTTACTAGATAACCCACTTAATTTTTTTTTTTTTTTGAGACAGAGTCTTACTCTGTCCCCCAGGTTGGGGTGCAGTGGCGCGATCTCGGCTCACTGCAACCTGTGCCTCCTGGGTTCAAGTGATTCTCCTGCCTCACCCTCCCAAGTAGCTGGGATTACAGGCACGTGCCACCGTGCCTGGCTAATTTTTGTGTTTTCAGTAGAGACAGGGTTTCACCATGTTGGCCAGGCTGGTCTTGAACTCCTGACATCAAGTGGGAGGTCACTTGATGATCAAGTGGGAGGCCCACCTTGGCCTCCCAAAGTGTTAGGATTATAGGTGTGAGCCACCACTCCCAGCCTAAAGTCTATTTATTAACTGAGATTAGAAAGCACTCAAAACATCGTCATAGGAAGCAATTTAAAAATGTTAGCTGGCTGGGCATAGCGGCTCACACCTGTAATCCCAGCACTTTGGGAGGCTTAGGTAGGTGGATCACCTGAAGTCAGGAGGTCGAGACCAGTCTGGCCAACATGGTGAAACCCTGTCTCTACTAAAAATGCAAAAATCAGCCAGGTGTGGTGGTGGGTGCCTGTAATCCCAGCTACTTGGGAGGCTGAGGCAGGAGAATTGCTTAAACCTGGGAGGTGGAGGTTGCAGTGAGCCGAGATCGCGCCACTGCACTCCAGCCTGGGCGATAGAGCGAGACTTTGTCTCAAAAAAAAAAAAAGTTAGCTGCTATTATTACTATTACAACTCGCTTCTCTTGAGCATTCTTAATAATGTAGAAGTATGTATTTAATGATGCAGTAATCTGTAGTTGAACTTAATACTATTCTGTGATGGAATTCCTCTGTCCTACCTTGCATGTTTTCAGTATTCCTTAGCTAGGTTGTTTTCCCACCTTTTCTCTTTTTCCCCCTTTCCTACTGTATAATATGACAATTAACAGTACATATTCAAACCCTGTTTATAAAATAATTTGACCTCACATTGGCTGTTGGAATTAGTTTTCATACTTTACGCTTGAAGAAATGGAGGTAAGGTGATTTACTTAGGATCGGTATGTATGGGAGTCTGGTTTCTCTTACTACTGCATCATAGTGACCCCTAACAATTCCAAAGTTGTAATGAGACTATTCAGTGTTTTCTCGTGTTTGTTTCTAAAGTTTGGGGTTTTATAGCTTTCTTAGTTTTCACAGAATTGATTTTTATTTTATTCAGCTTTTGAATGTCATGCTGCTTTTTGTGGTCCTCATATTTATTACATTTTTATTTTATTTCAGTAGCTTTTGGGGTTCAAGTAGCTTTTGGTTACATGGATGAGTTGAATAGTGGTGAAAGTTTGAGATTTTAGTGCACCGTCTCAGTTGTTACCACTTTTATGAAAATCCTATGTGAGTTTTCTATTCATTGGACCAGTTTGTATTTGAAACCTCATGAAAATGATTTTTTTTCTAAAAACTTGTAGCATAATAAAGCTTCAATGGCAGTTTTTTCTAATATTGTTACCAATTGTGTTTGTCTTTATACTTTTGTGTGTATAACATTTTTTCTTTAAATTCTCTTCAAACAAACAACAAGCATACTTGTGATCCTTAAGAGTCTCATGACACTAATTCTTATATAGAGTTCAGTTATGTAATGCAGATTACTTGATTTAATATTTTATTAGCACTGTTAAGTTTTGAATTGTGTTTATATTTAATATTGAGATGGAAAATGATTATATTTTATTTATATAAGAATAGAGTGTGTGATGCTAAAGAGGAAGATGAGGATATTTATTTTAGACGAATCCGTTTTCCTGATACGTAATTTGCATATTGTATTATTCTATGTATAATTTTATTTATTTATTTTTTGAGACAGAGTCTCATTCTGTTGCCCAGGCTGGAGTGCAGTGGCAAGAACTTGGCTCAGTACAACCTCCGGCTCTTGGGTTCAAGTAATTCTCCTGCCTCAGCCTCCCGAGTAACTGGGACTATAGGTGCACGCCACCGTGCCCGGCTAATTTTTGTAGAGATGGGGTTTCACCATGTTGGCCAGGCTGGTCTCGAAATCCTGAACTCAAGTGATACACCCTCCTTGGCATCCTAAAGTGCTGGAATTACAGGCGTGAGCCACTGCGCCTGGCCAATTCTGTGTGTAATTTTAAAGTAATTTGGTGTGGATTGCTATATGGTTCTTTTTTATGTACCTTTGCAAATATGTCTTAGAGAACAAAATGTGCTTTGTTTGATTAATTTTAAATTTATTTAAACTTAAATAAATTTAAATCTTATTCTGATATAGATTATCAATAAGTGACAGTTTCTTATATTGTTTCCAGTTTGGTTTTTAATTGAAAATAAGGTGAGAAAATAAAACTTGAGCAGGAAAAATGGGAAAGTAGCAAGTTTTTCATTGGGCTTGAAACTGAAAATTGGTGAGAGAACTTGACAGAAGGAAAAATGTGAGGTTGAGAAATGTGTGCTTTATTAAATTTAGACTTTGTTCTCAAATAGCCCTTTACTGTTGTGATATTGATATATGTATCTTTGGCAATTAGCTTGTTTGAGTCTACCAAAGAAATAATTTAAGCATTTTAATAGAGATAAATGGTACCACAGGTTCTCAGTCAGTCTACTCTTTCAGTTGTTGAAATGGATGACTTGCTGAATGTTTTTCCCTTTTTATGCCTTTGAAGTTTAGGGAAATTCGGTCTAGTTTCTGGTAGTATTGTTAGATATGTCCCACTTGTCCAAAATAATGTAAACAAATAGCTAAGTAGCTTTTTTATGTTACAGGATGAATCTGGTTATAGATGGACAAGAGACGATCATTCTGCAAGCAGGCAACCTGAATACAGGTAAAAGGATAAAAATAATAGCATAAGTACTTTGATACTTGACTCACTGTGATGTCTGCTTTGGAAATATAGACTCAAGGCACATAGATGAAATATTTTACTGGGATTTTAAATTTTGAAAGCAACAAGCATTATATTCTTTTTGTGACTATGTAGTATAATAGCACTGATAACTAGTGTTCCACATCTCTTGGCATTTTGTAACTCATAAAAAAATATTTAAAAATATTTGGGCCTGGTGCGGTGGCTCACACTGTTAATCTCCGTGCTTTGGGAGGCCAAGGCGGGCAAATCACTTGAGGTTAGGAGTTTGATACCAGCCTGGCCAACATGGTGGAACCCTGCCTTTACTAAAAATACAAAAAAAAAGAAAAAAAAATTAGCTGGGCATGGTGGCAGGTGCCTGTAATCCCAGCAACTAGGGAGGTTGAGGCAGGAGGATTGCTTGAACCTGGGAGGTGGAGGTTGCAGTGAGCTGAGATCGTGCAGCTGCACTCCAGCCTGGGCAACAGAGTGAGACTCCGTCTAAAAAAAAAAAAAAAAAAGAACTATTGTGATTTAGTTTTGCAATCTAATTATTAAATTATTAATGTGTGGTATGGATTATGAGGTTTGCTTAATTAGTATTTGATTTGATAGGTTTGCTTAATTAGAAAGTAAGGCTTTTTTTCAGAAGTATTCTGGGTTCTTACAAAGTCTATTATAAGGCATCTCAGTTTCTTTAATTAGTGAAGTCCTTTTGGGAAACACATTTTGCAAGGGCCTCAATCGTTGGCTTTGATTACTTACAGAGGGCATCTAATAGAATAGTTGTGGGAAAGAAACGATGGACACATTTAAATTGATTGATAGTTTTTGTTTTTAAATGACATCACAGTGGTGGTATCGAAAGTTGTAAAAGGAGCCTTGTAGAGATTTCTTATGAACTATCAGGGAAAATAACCCCAGTCTCATAGAGAGTGGCAAGGCATCAACTGTCACAACTCCAAAGATGCCAAAAGTAGACAAGATTCAGTGGATCAGAGCAAGACAGATTTTTATTCACAGCACAGCAATCAGCAGGAGGATCAGCATTGTAGTGTAGGTTCCCTGTCCCCAAATCCCACAGGGCGATGTGATAGGCACAGATGGTGACTGTGCACACAGTGGGATACACTGTGGCTGTGGAACCCAGGGTCAAGAGCTTGGTACCTTTTGTAGAAAGCAGAAAGCAAGCTAGTCCTCCTTTCCCTGGGAGTGACCTGCCATAGTAGTCACATTGTGGTCACCTTAACCTATTTAATTGTCTCTGTAACCAGCTACAGAAACTGTTCAGTGTCAGTGGATAGTTAGGTCTTGGAATTTGGCATACATGGCAATTATGTGCAGGGACATTCAGAACCCATGGCAGACTGTTTCTTCCAAAAGAAGCAATAGAATAGATGCCGAAAAAAATGCTTTGATAAAATTAATCACCAAGTAGTTATAAAAATAGCCAGCTGGGAATGGAAAGAGAATTTCCTTGACCGGGTAATTGGGCATTTGCTGTACTGAATGGTAAAATTAGAAACATTTGCTTTAAAATCAGAACAAAACAATGACATCTAGTCACTGCTTCCACTCAACATGGTAACAATGCCTACAGTAAAGCGAAAAATAAATAAGTTGTAGGAATTAGAATGAAAAACGCAACTACTTAAAGATAATATAATTATGCAGAAAATCTAGGAAAGTCTATAGACTGTAAGAACTATTATGAAATTAGCAAGGTCCAATGTAATAAGATCAACTATCAGCATAAATTAGAAAATTTGTTTTCAAAATACTATAGCATGAAAACTGTAATGAGTGATAGGAATAAACTCACCAAAAGAGTATGAGGCCTATACAAGGAAATTACAAATCATTTCTAAAGGAAATAAAAGTGAATCAGAGTAAAAGGAGAATCATGACATCCTTAGCGAGGAAGACTCAGTATCATATAAGTGTCAGTTCTCCTCAAATTAAGGTGGTAATTCAATTTGGTTCCAGTCAAAGATCAAAATTTTTTTTATTTTTTATTTTGCACGGAAGTTGACAAGTTAATTTTAAGACTAATATGAAAGAGTAAAGGGCTAAATGGCAAAAATGCCTTGAAAAAGATGTGAAGACTCAAGATACCATATGTGCATAATTATAAAGCTGTAGTGATGTAAACAGTGTTGTACTGTTGATGTCAAATAGACCAGTGAAACAGAATCTGCAAATAAACCTAGATATATCTGGAGTTTGGGGTACAGTAGCAGTGGCATTACAAATCCAATGGAGAAAGAATGAACTTTTCAATAAATAGTGTGCTGGGACAAACATTTCAAAAACATGACATTGGAAGCTGATATATCCAAATAATATCTGACATAATTAAGACCTATGTGAAAGGCAGAATTGTAAAACACTTTTAAAAACTAGATCAGCTAGTGGCTTATCTTTCTCCTCCAAAGAAATACCTCCCAAGAAATTTATTTTAGCTTAATTGTTTTTATTTATTTATATTATTTTTTATTTGTATAAATTTGATGGATACGAGTGTAGTTTTGTTACATGAATATATTGTGTAGTGGTGAAGTCTGGGTTTTTAGTGTATCCACCACTTGAATAATGTATATTGTACCCATTAAGTAATTTCTCATCCCTCACTCACCTCCCACCCTTCCAAATCTCTGTCTCTCATTCCACTATGTCCATATGTACACATTATTTAGCTTCCACTTATTAGTGAGAAGTGAGAACATTCAGTCTCTGACTTTATGTTTCTGAGTTGTTTCACTTAAGATAATGGCCTGCAGTTCCATGCATGTTGCTGCAGAAGACATGATTTCATTCTTTTTTTATGGCTGAATCGTATGCCATTGTATATATGTACTACATTTTCTTTATCCAGTCATCCATTGACGGACATTTAGGTTGATTCTATATCTTTCCCATTGTGATTTTTCAGTTTGTAAAATAACAGTTTTTATGTTAATTTTAATTTTCTCTTCCTGTCTCTTTTTTATAACATTTTGTGTATGTATATAACATTTTACATAAATGAAATAAAAACATATATATAAATCTCTAATCCCCACAGCCATGATAACATCTTGGTATAAGTTCTTCTATATTTTTCTCTATATTCATAAACATTTAGGGTTTTTGATTGTTTAATTGAGTCTTTTTTTGTTGTTTGTTTTGAGACAAAGTTCTGTCACCCAGGCTTGAATGCAATGGTGTGATCATGGCTCCCTGTAGCCTTGATCTGTCAGGCTTAAGCATTCCTCCTGCCTCAGCCTGCTGAGTAGCTGGGACCACAGGTGTGTGCCACCACACCCATCTATTTTATTTTATTTTATTTTTTAACTATTTTGTAGAGATGAGGTCTCACTTTATTGCCTAGGATGGTCTTGAACTCCTGGGCTCAAGCGATCCTCCTGCCTTGGTCTCCCAGAGTGCTGGGATTATAGGCATGAGCCATTGTTCCCGGCCAAATTGAATCTTTTTAATGGTCAAGTAATAGTCCATGGTGAGGATATGTCAAATAATTTAGCTGGTCACTCTGTTTACAGTACAAAACAGTGCTGCAGTAAATTCTAGTACATAATATTTTCATGAAATAGTACTTTAGTTTTTACGAGATAGGTTACTAGAAGCAGAATTTCTGGGTCAGTGGGTATATATATGTATTTTAAATATTAATAGATGTCAGTTTGCCTGCTAAAAATGGTTTAACATGTGTGTTTAATTTTTTTTAATAAAAATCTTAACATTTTAATTTAGATAATTATTTTTCTTTCTTATTTACTAATATAAGTAGTTTGAAATTTCCTTTAAGTAGTGCCATGACAGTATCCCATGATTCTGATATATAGTAATTTACACAGATTCTGACATACTGTATTCTAATTATTCTGTGATCACAATGTTGCCTGTACTGTAATTTTACTTTCAAAATCCATTGATTATTAATGGTTCATTAGTTGATCAGCTTCCATAACTGTACCATGGGCATTAAAACAAGGTATATTCTCTGTTTTCAGAGTATGGAGTTCATTCTGTATGGTATATTCATTCATTTATTAAATATTTCTTGTGGTATCTAATATGTCAAATGCTCTTCTAGTCTCTGGGAATATAAAGCCTCTGTCTTCATGTAGCCTACATTTTAATATGAATTATACATATTTAACAAATAACAAAACATAATTTTTACAAAGAAAAAGCAGGGAATAGAGAGTATTTGTACTGTCCACACCTGCTTGTGTCTTCACTTGACGTCTGAGTTATCTTCAATAATGTCTCAGGTTTTATGCTATCACAGTAGCTATAGCTTTTACTGCCTGGCATCTATCTGGCTTCTGTAAGCTGTTCTCTGTATCAGGTGGGCTCATTGACGATTTCCTACTTGAAAGACTTTGTGAACAGAAAATAGCTGTTGTTGTAGAAAAAGATTTAATGCATTGTGAACCGTGCAAAGAGAATTGTTACATCTATTGGTAATGTTCTGAGCAGTTAGGAAAGCCATGTCAGTATTTTTGTTTTTGTCAGTGGGGTGTACAAAGTGATTCTTTGTGCTGTAGGAAGAAAATATTAAAAGATTTGAAAAATTGACCAGGTGTGATGGCTCACGCCTGTAATCCCAACATTTTGGGAGGCTGAGACAGGCAGATCACATGAGGTCAGGAGTTTGAGACCAGCCTGGCCATTATGACAAAACCTTGTCTCCACAAAAAATACAAAAATTAGTCAGGCATGGTGGCAAACACCTGTAGTCCCAGCTACTCGGGAGGCTGAAGCAGGAGAATCACTTGAACTCAGGAGATGGAGGCTGCAGTGAGCTGAGTTCACCCATTGCACTCCATCCAGCCTGGGTGACAGAGCAAGACTCCATCTCAAAAAAAAAAAAAGAAAAATTGCAAGAATAACTGAAAACTCCTGTAACCCTTCACTAGAGATTTCATTAATGTCTCCAGAAATGTCCCCAGTAATGTGCTTTATAGCAAAAAACTTGAATCTGGGCTCATAAATCACATTTTCATAAGCTTCTTCAATCTGGAACAGCTCCTTAGTCTTCCCTTGATTTTTATGGTTTAGTGTTTTTGGCAAGATGAATACAGGGCAAGTTTTTTTTTTTTCTTTCTCAGTTTAGGTTTGTCCAGCGTTTCTTCATTTCTTCATGATTAGAGATTAGGTCTAGGTTATAGGTTTTTGCCAGGACAGTTCCTGAAGTGATGCTGAATTCTTTTTTTTTTTTTTTTTTTTTTTTTTTTTGAGATGAGGTCTCACTCTTGTCACCCAGGCTGAGGTCTCACTCTGTCACCCAGGCTGGAGCGCAATGGTGTGGTCTCGGCTCACTGCAACCTCTGCCTCCCAGATTCAAGTGATTCCCCTGCCTCAGCCTCCAAGTAGCTGGGACTACAGGCGTGTGCCACCACCGCTGGCTAATTTTTGTATTTTTAGTAGAGACGAGGTTTCATTATGTTGGCCAGGCTGCTCTTGAACTCCTAACCTCGTGATCTGCCCACCTTGGCCTCCCAAAGTGCTTGGATTACAGGCATGAGCCACCGCGCCCAGCCGCCGAATTCTTTTTCTTCCTATAGGCTGCACATGTTGTTTGTGTCCTTATTGGTATAGTTGACTTTTATCACTTGTTTAAGATGGAGTCTGCAAAGTTTCTTTACTGTTAAGTTGTCCTTCCCCCTGAAATTGCTTTGTGTGGAGATACTTTGAAACTATGTGATTGAATCATTTCCTGTTCCACTTTCAGCTGCTAGTTTTAGCATCCACTGATGGTTTTGCCTGAGTTAATTATCAATATTATGGACATAGTATTTATGTCCCCCCAAATTCATGTTGAAACCTTAGCCCCCCATTATGATAGTATTAGGAGGTTAGGCCTTTTAGGAGGTGAGATTTGGTCATAAAGGTGGATTCCTCATGAATGGGATTGGTGCCTTATTAAGAAGAGACATAAGAGCTTGCTCTCCACCATGTGAGGATACAATGAGAAGACAACCATCGTCAGACCAAGAAGAAAGTCCTCACTGGACACCAGATCTGCTGGTACCTTGATCTTGGATTTCCCAGCTCCAGAACTATGAGAAATATAAATAGTTTGTTGTTTAAGCCTATGATAATTTGTTACGGCAGTCCAACCCTACTAAGACAAATATAATGGGTTTTAATGGGTGGTTAGCCCATTCTTTCTATATTTATTATGCTGGCATTCTATTGTAAGGAAGAACATTCTCCTCACCTCTTTACTCCCTTAAAACAGACAAAATTTTGTTTATATATGTATGGACTAATAGATGCCTATTTTATTCAGTGAGTTGTAATTCATTGCTGTCACTATTTTGATGCTTAAATTTGGCCAGTGAGAGTCCCTTCAAGTTAGCTTCTGTGGTTGGTTGGTTGGTTGGTTTTGTTTTTCAAATATTTGCTTGTGACAATATATGTAACATAATAAAGTATGCCATTTACACAATTTTTATGTACACAATTCATGAGCATTAATTCTATTGACAGTGTTGAATAGAATTAATTTAATTCTGGTGAGTACAGAAACCCACATTTGAATTGTTTTCAACTTTTGGCATTGTGAATAATGCTACAGTGAACATTGGCCTACGAATACCTCTTTTGAGTCCGTGTTTTCAGTTTTTTGGGTACATATGTAAGAGTGGAATTACTGAATCATATGGTAATCTATGCTTATCTTTTTGAGGAACCATCAAGCCATTTTCCCTAGTGGCAGCACCATTTTACTTTCCTGTTAGCAATGTATAAAGTTCCCAGTTGCTCCACGTTCTTGCCAATGCTTGTTATATTCCATGTGTTTGTGTCTGTATGTGTGTAACCATCCTCAAGAGTGTAAAGTCATATCTCATTGTGGTTTTGATTTGCATTTTCCTAATGATGACTAGTGGTGATGAACATCATTTCTTGTGCTTATTGTTCATTTGTATATCTTTGGAGTAATGTCTGTTTTGAGTTTTTTGATTTTTTTTAACTGGGTTTTTTGTCTTTCTGTTGTTGAATTTTAGGAGTATGATATTAAACTGTATGTGATACATGATTTGCAATATTTTCTTCCATTCTGTTGATTGTCTTTTTACTTTATTGATAATATTCTTTGATGCACATTTTAAATTTTGATGAAGTCCAATTTATCTAATTTTTTTCTTTTGTTACTCATGCTTTTGGTGTCATATCTAAGAATCCGTTGCCAAACCAAGGTCATCTGTGTTGTTTTGACATGTCCACGTCATTCTTTGGTCACCTCTTTCTGACACAAGATGTTTCAGTCTCTTCTTAGGCTTCTCTGCCTCACTCTAAATTCAGGTGTTTCTCCAAGGAGCACGGGCCTTCTATAGTGGAGAGTGATTTTTTGAAGCTAAGAATCTGAACACACAGACACACACACAGACTTTTACTTCTGCATTTATTTTTATACAGTGTTTATGTGTATTCATGACTATGAGATCATGGCATTACCTTTTCTTTTATTGCATACTTTTATCTCCTTTTTCCATCTGTGGGAAATCTGGCTCCCAGTTGTTAGGAGAGACAGTCCTCCATGGGTGTCTTGCACTCCTGCACATCTTGCCAAGATATGCAAGACCCTGGTCACTCATTATTCAGGGTAGTTCTCAGAGATGTGTTTGTAATGAGCAATCTTGAAGGCCAGAGTAATGTCTCCCTGTTTGTCAAACAGCAGGCTTGCTTATTGCTTGGTGTAAAAATGGTGGGTTCCTTAAGTTCAGTGTTCCTCAGTTGTGACCCACACCCACTGCATGTGCCACATTTATCTAGGCTTATATCATGTTACCCCTGGACTTGGTACCAGAGAGAACTGACACAAACATGCCAATGCTTGTGTTGCTATGCTATGAGTGATAAAGTTTTTTCTCTGACCCAGAAGTCTGCTAGGATCCAGGAAACAGTAACAGTCTTAATTTATAACCTTGTAGGTAAGGCAAAGTCAAATTCCAGACCTGACACCAGTATCATCACTGTGTTTGTTCACACCCCTAAATGTGATTATTATCCTGACCCCATGAGTCTTTCTTATTGCTCTCTCCAGCACCTTTTTTAAAATTAATTAATTAATTTAAAAAAAAATTTTTTTTGTAGTTTGCCACCACTGGGTGGGTGTTACAGGGCCACCTTGCATTCACACCATCTTCCACAGGCCTATTACTGGCAGTGGAACTTTATACTCTAGCTATTTTTTTTTCATTTTGTTATGTGTTTCATGCTGTGGAACATACTTTATAAATCTAGTATACGTGTATTAGTGGTTTATATTCAAATGTGTTTTACTAATGGAAGCGTGGAATCATTGGAAGCAACTAGATTAAATAACAGCTAATGGAAGAAAAGAGAATGTGTCAAGTTTTCTGTCATTTTCCCTGATGCCCACTCCCCACTGCCCTGCCCCGCTCTGAAAGTGATCACTTTCATATTTGGGCATGCCTGGTGAAGTTATCTACATTTCAAGTGTGTCATCACCTGCTCGTCTTGTTTCTGTATTTACACAATGATTATATTGTCTATTTTTTCAAAACATACTTATAGATGAAATTCAGAATATATCAGGATTTATTTCATTTTGTATCAAAGAAACATGCTATACTCTACCAAGAGTTAGTGACTTAGAATGAGGTTGTTTTCAGGTCATTTTTTCCCCCTGTAGTTATGAGATCTTATAATAAACCTTAGCGGTCGGGCTCAGTGGCTCACACCTGTAATCCCAGCATTTTGGGAGGCTGAGGTGGGCAGATCGCTTGAGGCCAGGAGTTTGAGACCAGCCTGGCCAACATGGCAAAACCCTGTCTCTACTAAAAATACAAAAATTAGCCAGGCATGGTGGCACGTGCCTGTAGTCCCAGCTACTCAGGAGACTGAGGCATGAGAATTGCTTGAACCTGGGAAGCGGAGGTTGCAGTGAGCCAAGATTGCACCACTGTACTCCAGCTTGGGCAACAAGAGCAAAACTCTGTCTCAAAATAAAATAATAATAGTAATAAATCTTAGGATGGAACTGATTTGAAGTATTATATAATGTTGAAAAATATGGAACAAGAGTGTCATCAAGTGGCCAATATACTTTACTTTTAAATGCTAGGGGCTGGGTGTGGTGGCTCACACCTGTAATCCCAGTACTTTGGGAGGCTGAAGTGGGAGGATAGCTTCAGCCCAGAAGTTCGAGACCAGCCTGGGCAACATAAGGCGACCCCATTTCTACAAAAAAAATTAAAAAATAAGTTGGATGTGGTGGCATGCGCTTGGTACCTTTGGAAGCTGATGTGGGAGAATTGCTTGAGCCTGGGAGGTTGAGGCTGCAGTGAGCTGTGATCACACCATTGCACTCCACCCTGGGTGACAGAGTGAGACTCTGTCTCAAAAAATTTTTAAAAAGGCCAGGCAGGTGGCTCATGCTTGTAATCTAAGCACTTTGGGAGCCCGAGGTGGGTGGATCACCTGAGGTCAGGAGTTTGAGACCAGCTTGGCCAACATGGGGAAACCCCATCTCTACTAAAAGTACAAAAATTATCTGGGTATGGTGGCATGCTCCTGTAATCCCAGCTGCTCGGAAGGCTGAGGCACGAGAATCACTTGGACCTGGGAGGCGGAGTTTGCAGGCGAAGGCGTGCTGTTGCACCCCAGCGTGGGCGACAGAGGGAGACTCCGCCTTAAAAAAACAAACAAAGTTCTAGTTGGAAGATCTCTTAGTCCATATCTTATGCCTGGAATACTTTCGTTTGTTCTACTTTTTCTAGAATGCTTTTAACTGTAAACATGTGATTTTGTGGAAACAGCCTTGAACTTGACCACCAAACTTCTAATCTGAACTCAAGCAGGCAGACAGGTGTTTGATTTTTTGATAGGATAGAAGAAGAGGTGATATGGAAAATTCCTCAGCTTAAGTCGCAGTGTCTGTGGTTTTCCGTTTCCACATTTAAAATAAAAGATATTTGAGGTTGTACTTCACTTATTCTTAAGCTTGCCTTGCTAATTACCTGGCTGCTTTCTCAAAATAATTCTTGAAATCGTAATTCTTTTTGGAAGTCCCTATTGACTAGAAAGGAAGTAGCCAATATTTTATATGAATATTTGTGTATATTTGGATGTGGGAAGGAGAGAAAAATGAGGTTCAGAATAAGAAGTAAATGCTTTCCATCTCCCCATTCTTCCCTTCCCTTGTATCCCTTTCTCCCACTTTGTCGAATTTTACTCATAACCGGTGAACATATGTCTGCTGACACTGAGGGTTCTATCACCGCTTACCTGGTTTGACTGATGTGAGGGGCGGGAATTACCTTGGGGATTTGTATTAACAGGAGAATCTGAGCTTCAAAAATCTGCTTTTCAAATAAGCATCTAAAGTAATCTGCAATCACAGATGGTTCAAGGACCACATTTTGAGAGACAGTGCCTTATGGGGTGTTAGTTCTTCCCTTCCTCCATTCTCCTGATGACTTTGCGTCTTTTATATGCCAGCCAGTATAGCTGGAGTGTTTGCGATATAGCCAAAGACACTGTCCTAACTCTCAGGCTGTGTACTCTTTGATAATAAAAAGCATCAGTTTCGTCAGATGTGTTTTTTGGAGGCCTCATAATCCTGGTTGTATTGTTATTTATATTTCTTCAAAGGCCCTTTTTGATTCATCGTATAGTTCATTGTATTGAATGCATTGTATCATATATGTTGATACCTTCATTTCCAACATAGCTAGAAACCTATAGTTTTGAAAGCTTTTGTTGTAAGTTTTCTCTCCATGGTAAATGGACCTTTGTCTTACTTGCAGTTTTTACCTGGTGATTTATGGAACAGTATTAAAAATATGTCCAGACTTTAATATACTGTTTCTCTATTTAGCATGCTTCAGGGTTATGGATAAAACAACAAAAAAATCCTTAAAATCGAGATGATACTTGCACAAAGAAAATTATACTAGTTGATACTGAGTGGTTTTTACAGCTAACCACTAGTACCGGACACTTTTTTTTTTTTTTTTTTTTTGAGACAGAGTCTCACTCTGTCGCCCAGGCTGGAGTGCAGTGGTGCGATCTCGGCTCACGGCAGCTTTCACCTCCCAGGTTCAAGTGATTCTCTTGCCTCAGCCTCCTGAGTAGTTGGGATTACAGGCGTACGCCACCATGCCTGGCTAATTTTTGTATTTTTAGTAGAGACGGGGTTTCACCATGTTGGCCAGGCTGGTCTGGAACTCCTGAACTCAGGTGATCTGCCCTCCTCGGCTCCCAAAGTGCTGGGATTACAGGTGTGAGCCTGCACCTGGCCTTTCTTGTTTTTTTTTGTTTTTGTTTTTGTTTTTGTTTTTTTGAGACAGGGTTTCCCTGTCCCTGTGTTGCCCAGGCTGGTCTCTAACTCCTAGGCTCAAGCAATTTGCCTGCCTCAGCCTCCCAAAGTGCTGGAATCACAGGCCTGAGCCACCGTGCCCCAGTGAGTTGGCATTTTAAACACAGGTTTTAGAACTTTCCTGGAGGCTGAGTGAATATTTTTAAAGATTAAGTGTCTCCTTAAGCTTTATCATGAATAATATGCAACACTTGGGTTTGGCTAGAAATCACTAGGGATTTAATGGTCCTAAAAAGGGAAATACTACTCTGGCCCATAAATCAAGGTTAAACTTCTAGGGTCCACACAGAGATAAAATATTAGATAGGACTGCAAATATGACTGTCAGAACGCCTTTCTTATCTTCATGAACAAGTTTTTTTTCTCTCTCTGTACACAGCCATACATTCATGTCTGTAAATACCTGGCTTTTTTAGGCTCAGTTTCACAAAATGTTGCAGAATGCTTTTAATTCTTTCTCATTCTTCTCATCACAATTAACTGTTGAACATAGTTTGCACTAGTTTTCAAATGTCAACCATGAGAGTTTCTATCTCAGGGAAAAAAGGAGAGATTATAAAAGAATTCCACTAATCCGTAAATGAGAAAGGGTATCTTGATGTTTATTACTGTTTAATTTTCCTTCCAACACTAACAGAGGTACATATACAGCTACTATGAATAATGGTGAGTACTCTGTGAATACTCTTAGGTACTAGTGCACATGATGTTAGTTTTACAAAACAGTTGAGTCCTATTTCTGTTAAATTTTTATCCCCTAGTATAAAAACACAATTTATGATAAATCAGGTAAAAATGAAAAATCAAAGTCTTAGTTTCTTTTTTTTTTTAATTAAGACACCATGGAAAGGTCAAACTAAGCAACCTTATGTCTTACCTTATATCTAAACAAAACCCTTTCCTAGATGTAATTCTTTGGCACAGTAACTGATTAGAGGAGATCATTTGCCTATTTAATAGAGAAAACTTATTTTAACTTTGTTATCTTAAATATTAATATTTAGTGAGGTGATATTTTTCGTCTATCTTCCATTGAATTATCTTCGTATCGTTTGTCTGTTTTTTATTAGTGTGTTCATCTTATTCTTAGTGGTTTTGCTAGCATTCATTAAAAGATTAAAAGTAAATCATTATTATTATTAAGTTTTTGAAACAGAGTCTCGCTCTGTTCCTCCAGGCTGGAGTACAGTGGCGTGATCTTGGCTCACTGTAACCTCCGCCTCCTGGATTCAAGCCATTCTCCTGCCTCAGCCTCCCGAGCAGCTGGGACTACAGGTGTGCACCACCATGCCCGGCTAATTTTTGTATTTTTAATAGACACAGTGTTTCACCATGTTGGCCAGGCTGGTGTCGAACTCCTTGAACTCAAGTGATCCATCCCGCCTCGGCCTCCCGAAGTGGTAGGATTACATGTGTGAGCTACTGTGCCCAGCCAAAAATAAATTATTAAATATTAATATTTAAGACTGGCATTGATGTTGAAATTTTCTCTTTTAATTGGAAATGTACTTTAAATCTAATTCTAATTTTCACCTTAGAGGCCTTTCTGTATATAGTTTATACTTGGTATTTTGATACAAAATGGCTCTTCCTGCATACTTACAAATTTTTTTTTCTTACAGTTGTTTTGGGTGGGTGGGGGATCTTTTTATTCTGTCTTTTCCATCCAAACATTTAGCTTTTCAATTCACCTGAATTTATCATGATATGCGTTATAATAAGAATTGATTGCTGTCCTCCCCAAATTGTCTCAGTTATATAAAATATTTTAAAGCTTGAGAGTCCATGTATTCATGTAAGGTTAAAAATGAGATAACTGATGATGAAAAGACTAAAACCTGAAATTGTAATATAGATACCATTCATGTCAGAATTGCTATGTCTGGAGAGGTTAGGAAAATGAAGCTCAGAGAGGTTAATTATAATAAGGTCAAAAGGCCATATATAAGTAGATGAATTAATTGTTGAATCTGTATCTGCCATTAAGGAGTAATCTGAGATGTGGAACTCTAAGTAAATGTGTTTCTCAAAGTTATTTACTCACAGAACCCCCTTTTATGTTTTGTAGTAGAATGGGAAATACTAATATTTTGTGGATTAGTGTTCTATGCAACATATTTTAAGAAAGGCTTTTTGTCAGATCTCTGGTAGAGAACAAAATATGAACCAGCCAAAACATTTCTATCATTATTTAATTTTTCTTTCCAAAATACAATTAAACTTTTAAAGCACAAAAATTTTAAGATATTGGTAAAAGATGGGGTGAAAAAGTCCGTACCTTTCTTGATATTCTGTGGGAAATATGAAGCTGTAGGTAGCCTCTTTCTTCTTTAATAAATTGTGCTTGAAAACTTTCAGGACGTGCGTAATTATTTAGATTGGAGGTTGACAAATTACAACCCATAGGCCAAATCTGGTCAGCTGTCTGTTTTTGTAAATAAAATTATATTGGAACACAGCCACGCCTATTTTTTATATGTTATCCGTGGCTGCTGTTGTGTGTCAGAGGAATGTTGAGAAGATGTGATGGAGACCATATAGCCACAGTGCCTAAAATATTATTTGGCTTTTGAAAGAGCAAACATTTTCTGACCCCTAGTTTAGTGAGCTGCATTTTTGCCTACTTTACTTCATATGTTTTATCTGCATAAAGATTCTTTTACTGAAGTTCTCGGCATTTCATCCTCTGTAAAGTAAGTTCCCTGGGAAGTCAAGCTGAAGTCTTTTTCTAGAAGCTTTATTATGGCTTGGTTTTAAACTCTTAGAGACATGCAAGATTCCATAGTTTTGCTTTCCTGAATGACATACAACTATCAGGCACTTGTATTGGCATGCCTGGCTCTTTCTTGCTGCAAACCTTTTACTGGTTTAATGGAAGTAATACCAGGGTATAGGGTAAATAGACATAGCTAACATCTTTTGAGTGCTATATGCCAGGTTCTGTTCTAAATTTTTAACATATATTATTTTGTTTATTCCTCACATCAACTCTGTGAAGTAGGTATTATTATTATCCCCACTTTATAGTTGAGGGAACTAAAGCGTAGGGAGATTAAATAACTTGGTCAAGGTCATCCAGTTGTTAAGGAATGCAATGAGATTTGAAACTTTCCCCCCAACTTACTTGCCTCCTAATTCCTTGATTCTTGAGATGAGTTCGGGCATATTTCTTCCTCCTCATTACTTTCTCCAAGCCTCTGTTTCCACGTCAACTTTGAACGTCCTCATTTACACCACCCTGTCTTATTGTATTCTCTGATGAATTTCCAGGAGACCATTCCTTCTTCCTTGATGATTACAATTTCTGACTCACAATCTTCTCTATCCAATCTGCCTCTGTATCGTGATTTAATGCCATGTTTAACTCTAGTTGTTTCTTGTATTTTTCAACTTTATATATCCACAGGCATGGCCAGGCCTTACTTTCATCACTGGGAATTGTTTTGCCGTTATCATGAACTCTGAATTTCTGCTTTCTGACTTCTGAACGGTTCACTTACATACAGCCCTTACATGCTAGTGAGCTTCTTTAATTCAGTCCTTTTTAACATTTCGTGTGCATAGGAATCACCTGGAAAGCCTTATGCAGAATCCTGAGTCACACCCTTAGAGATTCTGATTCAGCTGGTGAGGGTTGATGCCCATGAATTTGCATTTCTATCACCTTTCCTGCAAATGCTGAGGCAGGTAGGTCTATGGACGTACATTTTGAGAAGGATTGCTCTAATTAATACTTTGCCCCAGAGGATCAGTAAAACTTTCTAATTTGCATAAAGCCTCCATTCACATTCTTTCTTTACTTTTTTGATGACTTCTGTAATTACTGAGACAAAGGCCTTTTGATGAGAACTCTGTTGTATTTTATTTTCTTGAAATAAGAGTTTTTCTATTTATTCTTTTCATATTCTTCTCTTCTACTTAGTCCCTTTGTCTCACTTTCTCCAGTTGACTTTTGGCTCCTTCTTTACCATTAACATTTTTGTGTCTTGCGTTATCAGTTTCCCCTTTTATAGTGAATTGGCTTTTTTCTATCAGCCTTCAGTAGTGGTCAAATAAGCCCCTTTCCTCAAAATACCATTCCTTCCCATCTTCCCTCCTTCAGCCTGTTTTGGAAGAAAAGTTACAGCTTTTAACTTCTTCACTAGCTATATCTTAATTTCTTGCAATCTGCTTTGGTTTCCAGAATTTTACTGGACTCTTGGACTGACAGATCAAATGACTTCTAGGTGTTTTTTGTTTTGTTTTGAGACAGGGTCTCACTCTGTTGCCTAGGCTGGAGTGCAATCTCTGCCTCCTGGATTCAAGCAATTCTCCTGACTTAGCCTCCCGAATAGCTGGGACTACAGACACACACCACCACACCCAGCTAATTTTTGTATTTTTAATAGAGATGGGGTTTCACCATGTTGGCCAGGCCTGTCTGGAACTCCTGCCCTCAAGTGATCCGCCCTGCCTCGGCCTCCCAAAGTGCTGGGATTACAGGCGTGAGCCACCTCGCCCAGCCTGGTGTTTTTTTTTTTTTTTTTTTTTTTTTTTGAGACAGAGTCTTGCTCTGTCACATACACTGGAGTGCAGTGGCACGATCATGGCTCACGGCAGCCTCTCCTGTGGGGCTCAAGTGATCCTCCCGCCTCAGCCCCCTGAATAGCTGGGAGTACCAGTGGGTGCCACCTCGCTCAGCTATTTTTTAATTTTTTGTAGAGACAGGCTTCTCTATGTTGCCCATGCTGGTCTTACACTCCTGGGCTCAAGCAGTCTTCCCACCTCTGCCTCCCAAAATTCTGGGATTGTAAGCATGAGCCACTGCACCCGGCCAACTCCTAGGTCTTAAATGCATAGTCTCCTCGAGACTTGCAGTGTTTGATACTATCATTTCTCTTTTTAAAAGTTTTCTACCTTTGCTTTTTACTCACTGCTTTTTTAAGGTCTTACTGTTCTAACTACTTCAGTTCTTGTTCACATAGTACTTTAATCTGTTACTGCTTTTTCTAAAGTTTGTGATGCTTTTCCCACCATCTAAATCTATGCTGTCCAATATGGGAGCTACTAACCGCATGTACCTTTTGAGCACTTGAAATATCGTCAGGTTAGACTGAAATATTCTGTAAGCATAAAATGCACACTGGATTTTTAATATTTAGGTTGAAAAAGAGAATGTAAAATAGCTTACCAAATTTTTTTAATGCCAATTACATGTTGGTAATACTTTGGATATATTGGGTTAAGTAAAATAAAATGCTAAAATTAATTTGACCTGTTTCTCTTTACTTTAGATATGACTACTTCTTCTGTGGCTTGGCTATATTTCTGTTAGATAATATTAATCTAAATCTCATCTTTCCTTAAGACCTGGATCAGTTTTCCATCTATTTACAAAGTTACCTTTGTAGCTTTGTACCAGCCTTCTTAAACATTTGGTCCTCACCCCCTCTCACCCTACTCCCCCTTCCCAATATACTTAGCTTCTTCAAAGCAAGAGTAATTCCCTATAGTGCTGTTCATATGGTGGACACTATATACATTATATAATACACACACACATATCTGAAAAAATGGCTAATATTACCACTTTATCAAAAAGGATACTTATGAAAATTGAGGCCTGTTGTGATGTTTTTGCTTAAATTGGTGGGGAGCAGAAGAAGGATTGATGTGAAGGGGAGAAGAGACATTATTCTACTCTGAGCTATTGACATTTGACACTTGACATCCCCCAAGTGTATCCTGCCACCTTAGGCCACTGATAGCTCTGTACTGCTGTGATTTTACTGCCATCTGGTGTCAGATTAGGAAACTGTAGTTCAGCATTTTGTCTCTTCAATAGAGGAAGGTAGGCAATCTTTCCTCTCTATCCTGTAAGCAAGTTACCAATAAGAGCTCATATAATTTCAATGTAGGAAACCTTTATTTTCCTTGTTGGAATACTCTTTCCTTGGCTTCCATGATAAATGCATTCTCCTTTCTAATGTTTCTCTGTTCTCCCATTCTTCGACAGCCCATTTCTCTCTTCATGGTAGAGTTTTTTTAGCCCCACGTTCTAGGCCTGCTGTTCTTTTTTTCCTTTGCTTTCCTCTATACCAGGCTTTAAGTACTGCCTATTTACAGACAAATTTATATTGATAGCCAAAAATGTCCTCTGAGTTTGAGACTAGTATCTTTAGTTGCTTACCTAGATATTACACAAACATCTTAAATATAACATGCTCCCATCAAAATGTGGACCTCTCACCTGCATCCTCATTTCTTAAATTTATTTTTCTCATTTCATTAATCTATCATGCCAGAATTATGGGAATCAGCTTGGCATCCCGTCTTTCACACTTTATTAGTAAAACGTTAACTACATCCCATTAAGTCTAGAGGGTATATTCTTGTATATGTAAAATTTGTGACCCCTCACCTGCTCCTGTCCCATCTAAGATACCACTGTCTCTTGCCTGGACTAAGTTAGGTTCCTCGTTAGTCTCTCTACATCCATTCTTGACTGCATTCACATGTTTTATGTATATTTGTCTAATGTCAGCCTCTCCTATTAAACCGAGAGTTCTGTGATGGCAGGGACTGTGTACATTTGGCTCACCATTGGGTCCCAGCACCTCACACAATTTCTAAAACCTGTTTATTTAATACCCATATCACCACTCTGGCTAACCAGTGCTGTTGGTATGACCCTTGTAGTTTTAGTGACTAAACTAGTGCTAGAATTCCTTAATGCTCTATTTCATTATTAGTGTTCTATACCAGTTCATTTACCATAAATGAATTTAAGCTATTTTCTGCTTTTTCCCAGGGAAACTTACTTGTGTCTGAAGGGACAATATATTTGGGGTATTAATCAGCTAGTGTTCAAATGAACTTTAGGACAACAGCCTGTTTATATCCTATGGACTGCCAATCAAGATGCTGAAATGATTTTCCAAGCACTTGAAATTGTATGCTATTGGTATGTCTCTTAGCACTCTTCTGTCTGAAATTTAGTATTCTTTAATGTTGCAGTACATTTGTTAAATCATGGATTAAAACCTGTTTGACTCTTAAGTGTTCTTTTATTAGAGGCTTAGTTGATGATGGTTTCATTTAGTAATTTTGATTTGGTTTGACATTTTAAAATGGTTTTGCTTTATAAGGTTTTACTACTAGGGCTTACTTGGTGCTTTGAGTTGATGGTATTTCTCAATAAAGAAATTTAATTTATAAAAGTAGAGGTGATTTATAAAAAGTAGTTATTTAGAGATGGGCAACAATCTATGTACTGAGGATGCACACTCAGCAAGAATTTAATAGGTATATAGCAGGGTTTCTCAGTGTTGGCATTATTTACATTTTGGACTGAAGAGTTTTTTGGTGTGTAGTGTTGGGGGGCATGTCCTGGGCACTGTAGGAAATTAGCAGCATTCCTGGTCCCTACCCATCAATGGTACTCTCCTCCCCAGTTATGATAATCAAAAATACCTCTAGACAATGCCACATTGTCCTGGGGGTGGGTGGGCAAATTGCATATACCTTGAAAACCAGTAGTTTCTATACTTAGAAGGGGATAATTGGCCATGAAATGTCTTACTTGGGAAATCTTTGGCATTTCTAAGTGTTTTTGAGAATGTGGTAGCTGTGTGGTGTATTGTTAATGGCAAAGAGAAATGGAAACTATATGACAGTATGTTTTTTACATTTTAGAATTTGTGCTTGCCTAAAATAAAATAACTTTTGCATTAGCCACCTGGTTCTGTTCCAAACTGAAAAAGGGTACATTCTAAATCATATTTCACTGATACTGTTTCATTTTGTTAGCTGACTTCAACAGTTAGGTAGTGATAGAAAAAGAGAACCAAGAGTACAAATTTTTTTTTCTTTATTTTTGAGACAGTCTCGCTCTGTTGCCCAGGCTGGAGTACAGTGGCGCGATCTGGGCTCACTGCAAGCTCCGCCTCCCAGGTTCACGCTGTTCTCCTGCCTCAGCCTCCCAAGAAGCTGGGGACTACAGGCACCTGCCACCACGCCCAGCTAATTTTTTTTTTTTTTTTTTTTGTATTTTTAGTAGAGATGGGGTTTCGCCGTGTTAGCCAGGATGGTCTCCATCTCCTGACCTCGTGATCTGCCCGTCTCGGCCTCCCAAAGTGCTGGGATTACAGGCGTGAGTCACCGCACCCGGCCCCAAGAGTACAATTTAAAGGGTAGCTTATAAGCAGAGCTTTTGCCATTGTGCTTGTATATAGAGGATAGAGTATAATTAACTTATTTTATGTTTTTTTTTTTTTCAAAGGGACATGAGAGATGGCTTTAGAAGAAAAAGTTTCTACTCTTCCCATTATGCGAGAGAGCGGTCTCCTTATAAAAGGGACAATACTTTTTTCAGAGAATCACCTGTTGGCCGAAAGGATTCTCCACACAGCAGATCTGGTTCCAGTGTCAGTAGCAGAAGCTACTCTCCAGAAAGGAGCAAATCATACTCTTTCCATCAGTCTCAACATAGAAGTATGTATTTTAAGACTTTATTTTTTTCTCTCACAGTCTCCTCTGATGAGAATGTACTGAGTCAGATTTCCTTCTAGGTGTAAGAGATTTATTTTTTAAACTTTTTATTTTGAAAAATTTCAAACTTACAGAAAAGATGGTAGAATAGTATAACAAACACCATACACACACATTTTTTTCAAACTATTTGAAGTGGCATTCTGCATGACACTTACCTTTAATTTCTTCAGCATGTAAAAGGTTTTTTTTTTTTTTTTTTCAGAGTCTCGCTCTGTCTCCCAGGCTGGAGTGTAGTGGCACGATCTTGTTTCACTGCAGTCTCCGCCTCCCGGATTCAAGTGATTCTCCTGCCCCAGCATCCTGAGTAGCTGGGAATACAGGTGTGCACCACCATGCCCGGCTAATTTTTGTGTTTTTAGTAGAGACGGGGTTTCACCATGTTGGTCAGGCTGGTCTCAAACTCCTGATCTCGTGATCCGCCCACCTCTGCCTCCCAAAGTGGTGGGATTACAGGTGTGAGCCACTGCTCCTGGCCAGCCTTGTAAAATTTAGAGTGAAAACCTCTCTTACTCTTTTCCAACCCCCAATTTTATTTTATTTTTATTTTTATTTTATTTTATTTTTATGTTTAATTTGTCATGCCTGAACCTACATGACATTCTGTACAATCTTAGCATGTCATGCTGGCTGAGTTGCTTAGTATGTGTTTGAATAAATTAATGACACAACTACTTTTCTAGAGAAAGCATTCTTATCTTTCTAGACTCTGCAGCCTGCAGTAGAGCTCGTTCACATAACAGTTCCTTGTGCCTTCTATGTGCAAGGCACTGTGTTAATATTATACAATGATGTCCCTGTCACTAGGGAACTAGAATATATGTTTATATTTCTCACCAGCTAATACCAACTTTATCAATATGTTTATATATAACTTTGATACAATAATTGATATGTCATAAATGAGTTGACATGAGCATGTCAAGGTGAGAAAAATTAATTCACACTCTGAGGATGTAAGAACATGTCATAAAGGAGATGACATTGGGCTCAGCCTTATTTCAGATTTCTACAAGTAAAGAATTGTCTTCTAGTTAGAAGGAATTATGAGCCAAGGTGCAGAAATCAGAAAAGTCCAGGATATTTCCTTTTCAACGTCCTTCTCATTAACTGTCTTTTTTTCAAATAATAAGAGTTTTAATTTAACAGCCTTTGCCTCTTACATGATGAAAGTGATGGAAAACCATTTGGAGTCATCAGATTGTCTTCCCTTGAAGCTGTTGCAAGATTCTTGAGTTTAGCAAACATTTATTGTCTACTCTTTGCAGAGATAGATAGAGTGGGGCTTCCCAAAA
The DNA here is from genome assembly GCF_000001405.40 of Homo sapiens. Taxonomy (NCBI): domain Eukaryota; kingdom Metazoa; phylum Chordata; class Mammalia; order Primates; family Hominidae; genus Homo; species Homo sapiens. Next base: position 42,376,427 of record NC_000012.12, read on the forward strand.
AACATATTTTTGGATACAGGTATATTAATGATGATGCAGGAGATAAGAAGGTTATTTTAAGGATTTAAAACAAACACAGGCTGGGCACAGCAGCTCATGCCTGTAATCCTTGCACTTTGGGAAGCCAAGGTGGAAAGATTACTCGAGCCCAGGAGTTTGAGACCAGCCTGGGCAAACATAGTGAGACCCCTGTCTCTCAAAAAAGAATTTAAAAATTAGCTGGGTATGGTGATGTATGCTTGTATTTTCAGCTACTCAGAAGGCTGAGGTAGGATTGCTTGAGCCCAGGAGGTTGAACCTGCAGTAAACTGTGATCACGCCACTGCACTCTAACCTGGGCAACAGAACGAGACTATGTCTCTAAAAATAAATAAATAAATAAGTAAATAAATAAGCCACTTCCATATATATATCTGATTGTCCAAAATGTGCTTGGGACAGTTCTGGGTAACTGAAAGTTTTATTGTGGAGATTAATGTTAACAAGTATACAAGTATTTTTTCTTTTGCTTCTATATACCCCATCCCTACCACATAAAAAAAACCTTAAGAAGATAAACAATCTGTAAGCCAAGCTTGTCCAACCCCCGTCCTGCAGGCCGCGTGCAGCCCAGGATGGGTTTGGATGCAACCTGACACAAGTTTGTAAACTTTCTTAAAACATGAGGCTTTTTTGCGATTTTTTTTTTTAAGCTTACCAGCTATTGTTACTGTTTGTGTCTTTTATGTGTGGCCCAAGATGATTCTTCTTCCAGCACACCCCAGGGAAGCCAAAAGATTGGACACCCCTACTCTAAGCACTAATGAATGCTCACATGCACAGACATATCCAAAATTAGCCAGATACCATCTAAGACCCTTAAAATTTTTTCTTTCTTTTTTTTTTTTTTTTTTTGTCTGAGACGGAGTCTTGCTCTGTCACCCAGGCTGGAGTGCAGTGGTGTGATCTCAACTCACTGCAACCTCCACCTCCCAGGTCAAGCAATTTTCCTGCCTCAGTCTCCTGAGTAGTTGGGATTACAAGTGTGCACCACCACGCCCAGGTAATTTTATATTTTAGTAGAGACAGGGTTGCACCATGTTGGCCAAGCTGGTCTCGAGCTCCTGACTTCAAGTGATCCACCTGCCTCAGGCTCCCAAAGTGCTGGGATTACAGGCATGAGCCACTGTGCTCTGCCCTTACGACCTGTTTTTGGGATGTGTATGACTTAAATCCATATCCAATAATGATTTTCATTAAAGAAGAAGAAAGTATCTTTGGAAACTGATTATGAAAACTTTTTAACAAAGCATGAGTAAAAGAAGCTTGAGGTTCTTACTTGAAAGCTTGTAATGAAGTTATTAAAGATAGTTATTAGTGAATTAGTCTTATTTTTTATCCTCAAAAACAGAAATTTTGGGGGCGAGCATCTTCTCTCTGTTGACCTGCTTTGGGCCTCTTAATGGCCAAAACTCTAAGATCTTGAGATGAAATGTGGTTGAGCCGTAACGTGATGCTCCTGTCTTAGGATCTCCAATATCCTTCACTCATCCTTTGAGAGCTCATACCTTTAATATTTGGGGTAATTTAAAAATAAAGTTGGTAGACTAAAATATGGGGTAAATTGAATGAAACAGAGCATATGACTTTATTAATGCCTGCATCTAGCTATCTATCTATCTTTCTCTTTCTTTCTTTCTTTCTTTCTTTCTTTCTTTCTTTCTTTCTTTCTTTCTTTCTTTCTTTCAAGTTATTTAGCTTTGAAAGTAAAGTTCTTTGATCAAGAAAAAGTTTGTTCTGGGAAAACTCCATTTTCAAGTATTCCTTAACTACTTGGGCTGAACTATGAAAATTTTTTCTATTTTCCCTTCCTGTTTTCAGAATAGTTACATAAGATAATCTTGCAAAAAAGTGAATGGAGGTCATATTTTAAACAATAAATGGGAAAAGTAATTATTTTACCTATTTCAGATACCAGTTTTTGCTTTAAATGTCACAAATATTGCAGCACCTGGCTTTTTTTCAAAAGAGGACTGAGACACGGGGTTCTGCACTTATCAGTCACTTAAGCTGGGATAATTAGCCACGTGTTAAAATTAAGTTTTCTAGTATAAATTGAAATTTTGAAAAAGACGTAAAATATTATTATAAGTATAAATAACAGGTTAAAATAATTATGCCCTCATTAAAAAAAATTAATTTTTTCCTTTTTGTTCATACTTTTAGATTAATTTTTCCTATTTTAATGATCATTATTGGTTTGTCTATAGTGATTTTACTACATTTTTAAATTCAACTGCTTATTTCCCATTTTGTGCTCACATACATACACACACATTTAATTAAATCTCTTCTAAGCCTTTTGAGTTAATCTTATGGAACTTTGAACTACTTCAAACTAATTATCCTTCTACATCCAACTTGTTTTCATCCTGTACTTTACTTGCAAGAATATTCTTACTATAACTTAGTTGGGCTGACCTGGATATGCAATATTATTTTTAGTTCCTTTTTGTTGTCCATGTTCACATGCTAGCAGTGCAGATTGTCCCAGTTAACCTCATGTCCTTTCTCCCTGTGTATTATGATACTTTCCTAGGTAAAATTGTTTTTTTTATATTTACCTTGTATATTTTTCACTTGAAGTTTATTTTTATTATAATTAATCTAAATATCTCCACATTTGTCAATTCTAATACTTATTTTCTTTTTTTCCCTCTTTGAAATAATCCCATGTTTTCCTATCTTACCCTTTGTCATTTGCCTTTTATTTAAGCTATAACATTAAAAGTGATGAAAAAAATCACTAAGTTCAGTCTCCCACACCCATTTTTTGTTAAACTGTTAGTATTTCTTTTGATAAATTTACTAAATCACAATCCAGTCCTTTTATGTAGCTCATTCTTTATAAAAGAATTAAAATCTTCTTCAGTAACATCTACTTAATACTAGTTATTCTTCTTAGAGCCATATATAAAGATATTTCTTCCTTTTATGTTGTAACCTGTTACATATTGGAGGAGTACTATCATATTCTTCATGTTTTTTTTTTCCAGGTTTAAATATATTTGGTTTATTTTGCTGTTCCTTTTATTTGTCATGGTTTCCAGACCTTTTGCTTTCCTATTTTTCCTTCTGTTTCCTGTAATTTGTAACACCAGAAGTGAATTTTTATTTTAGCAACCACATTTCATTACTGGATTGTAGGCAACTGAAGCCTAAGCTATTTTCACATATAATACCATTAAACAAAATGCCTCTTAGGCTGTACTTTTTCAGGTGCAATTGTATGTGTGTAGTTAATGCATTGAAAAAAAAACTAGAAATACTACATTTTATCTAATTAACTTTGGCTTATTCTGTTTTATAGAATTCTCAAAATCTCATTTAGTGATTCTGTATATTAGCACCTGATAAGAACAGCTTGTATTATCTGCAAATTAAGTATGCTGGATGTGTTTTGTATCAGTTGTTAATAATTTATGTTGAGGAGCATAAGGCCAACTGTAGAAACCTCTAGAGATCTGTTAACCTGAACCTTTTATCAGCATTGTTTGTTGCTATTCAACAATTATGATCCTTCATCTTTACTATTATCTTATTTTCATATCCACTTGAGAATCTCAAGGAAGACCCTGTCAGGTGTTTCTTGAAACTCTTAAGTTATAAAATATTTCTTCTATCAAAACAGTGACATAAAGATTATCTTGCTTTGTTGTTGTAAATCCCCGGTGGCTCCTAGAGATGAAACTACCTCTCTGTTAATTCATTCTAAACATTTGCTAGGGATTAATCCCAAATTTACCAGAGATGCTTACATATTTAGGTTCTGTGACATTTTGGTTGAATTTTAAAATACTTTTACTTTGCAAGATTTGCAAGTTTATTGTTTATTTTGTTTGTTTGGCCTTTGTTTTTTCTGTAGCTCTAACTTTGGGCCTAGCTTCCCTTATTTTTCTTACGTCAACAGCCATTATTAAGAATAGAAGATATTTTTTAAAAAATACTGTTAGTCATTAGTGTTTAATTCTTTCAAAAAATACATCTAAGAGAACTGAAAGTGTACAGTAATTAAAAGTACTGTTTTGAGACAAGTATATTTGGAAGATAGAGTCCATTTTTGAATGTCAATCTAATAGAAAAAGACATACGTCTTAAGAGCAGTTGGCTATGAATAAAATTTGAAGTCTCCATGAATTTTTTGATTATAGCTGAAATTCTTTTTTTAAAAAAACTATTCTAGACTTATTAGTAATGTAGCCGAAATTCTGATAAAATCTTGAAATTTAGTTCTGCTTTTAGGTGAAGGCTTTTCTATGCAGATTTGAAGAGGTAATAGGAATATAGAAATAAGGTTTTATCATCAGATCATGTATATTAGGCAACAGGAAGAGAGGATAAAGTCATTCTCTTAGCAACAAAATATCCTAGCATTTCTTGGTTTGAAGCCCACTATGCTGTGTTCAATACTTACATCTCTTAATCAACAAACATATATTGAACATAAATTGTTTGCCAAGCGAGACAGATTCAATCTCTGCCTTCTGAGTTTATGATCTAGTCAGAAAGACAAACAAGTAATTAAATAGGAATAAACATTTTAGGTGACATCTGAAGGGTTAGTAGAAGGTGAAGGATGCTAGTGGAGAAGGTTTATGGGGATGAGTTACATCATATGGAGTCCCTAAAGTATAATTTAATAGTTCCCTGAAACATTTTAGGCCATCACTTGATCTAGACTATTAATGCACTGTTGAATTAGATTCTATAACATATTCTTCTTGTTTGAGGATCCATTGTTTACTCACAAGAGAGCTTTGGCTATGAGTTTTCTAGCTAAATCCTAGGATTATAGCTATAGCTTTTCTGGCATCTTAATGATCAAGGTTCTAAAACAGAAATCAATTAATGCCATATGCATAGGCATTTTATTATATCCCTGTTTTAGGACTTAGTATATTCTGTCAGTAGCAAATGTTCATAATGTGTGCAGATGATGTTTTCCTTATATGTTTAAAAATGAGCTCACGTGGTTTTTAGCTGATGTGTTAAAGGAGAACTCTACTCAGAAGTGTGCTTCCAAGTATTCAGTCAGTTGGCCTTTGCTTTAAGTTGTTGCAACTCTGACCTCCCCAAAAGTTGGATCTTGAGGGAAGCAGAGGTGATGCAATGCTTTCTCTGCCCCTCTACCTGTTTCTTTTCTCTCATTTTTTGGTGTCTTTAACATGAGAACATTTTTCTTGTGTCTCTCCATTTTCTAATTCATATGTTCTTGAGTAAATCAGTAGATCTCTGAGAAACATGTTCTTCCTAACCAGAAGTCCCAAATTCCCACATCTTCATCCATGATCCAGTAAAAAATTTTCTTATCATCTGTGTAGCCACATTTTCATTTATTTATATCTTAATTTCTCTTCATATCTTCAGCTGTTGAAGAAGAGATGAAAGTACTGTCTGTGTTGGTGAAGTTTGTTTCTTGATGAGACTTGCACTCAAATATACCTGTTTTGTCCCTGTTTGCCAAGCACTGCGCTAAGAATCTGATAGTTTGCAAGACATAGCCCCTAACTTTATCATCTCTTATGATTATGCTGTTTTTTTTCCCTGCAGTGTCCTTTTTTTCCTACCTGGGTTATCAGTGATGAATAGCACTTGATGTAGGAGGATTGGATAAATTTGGTTAGATTTATCATTTCTTTTCGCAGGAAAACACAGCAGCAAGAAAGTGTATTTCTAAAAGATCCTGTTAGATTGCATTCAGCCATTGCATTCAAGGAGTCACCAAATACTTTGAAACTCTTGCAGAACTTCCTGAGTGTGTTGTGTAATGTTAAGCTGCTTCTCCAGCTTTTGATTTTACCTCAATAGGAAAAACATTATATGGAACCAGTATTTGAAATTCCTTTTTATTTCCTTTTTTTCCATTTATTCTTTCACTCATCAATATATAGACAGGGATTTTGATTTCTGTACTGCCACTTTCAGAATTTTTTTTCTGGTTTCTTTCCTCCTTCCTAATGTGGAACCCATTTTCTTTTGCAAGTCACAACAAAGGCAGGAATGTTTTCAACCTTTTTACCTTGCTCTCAAGCAGGGAGGTAGTGTCTGCTTACAAAGATCATGTGTGAGATGAATTTGAGGTAATGGCTAAATAGCTAACGAGTAGCAAGCCTGTTAGTTAGAAGGCAGAACAATGAGTGAAAGAGGCAGATTTTAGAGACTTTTATATTCATTGTATTTGTTGGAGCCAAATAAAAATAGAAAAAAAGATTAAGGTTAGTAGCAACACTCACATTTAAGGAACAATAACCAACAAAAACGAAAGAGGAAGGGGTAGCTATGAAGATGTAAGGGTGCAAACAGAAGTACAAAGATACGAAAAACAAATAGCAAAATATTAAGAAAAACTTGTTTATAAATCATTAAAGTGCTATAGTAGAGGATAAGAAGAATGAGACCTTTTAGTTTTACACGAGCACATCAGCGGAAACTTTGGGATGAAGAGTTTTAAGTACAGTGGTGGTGTTTCTATTATCTCTTGTTGTGTTACAAAAAACAAAAACAAAACAAAAAAAACAAACAAACCCCAAAACTTAGAGAATTAAAACAATAATTACTTACTTGTTCATGACTGCAATTTAGCTGGGTAGTTTTACTAGTCTATTAGAAGATTGTTAAATAGTCCAAGCCTACCTAAGACAATACTAATGGGAATCTGTAATTATATGTGGTAATACCTACAGTGTCTCTGAAGTTTGGAATCAAAATCAAACACATCCACAGCAGTGTGTTGGTAAACTGACTCTCCAAGGTTAAAAAGATAAGATTTGTAGCATTTGCTGATATCTGTGGAGTGTAGATTCTCATCATAGTTCAGCTACCAACATGGAGTAACTGAACACAAAGTTTCAAAGGGATGCATGCAATTCACTCTCAGGAGCTAATATGAATTGGCCTAAGGCTCCAGTAGCTTTCTCTGAAATATCACCATTATCTCTTGATTCAAGAAAGAATTTGAGGCAGCTTAATGAAATAAACACTTAATAAAATAGGATTAAATAAGTGGAGGAGGAATTTTATGTAAAAGGAAAATAAGAATAGGAAAGTAAAAGTAAGAATAAAGTTGGTAGTACATGAAATAAATGCCCATTATAAGGCTCTGAACAGTTGCTATAGGTGAACTAAGGGTTTGGCCAAAACAAAGCTAAAAGAATCAAGAATAAAGTTAGTAGTGCATGAAATGATTGTCCATCATGAGGCTCTGAGCAATTGCTGTAGGTGAACTAAGGGTTTGGCTGGTCGTGGTGGCTCACGCCTGTAATCCCAGCACTTTGGGAGACTGAGGCGGGTGGATCACGAGGTTAGGAGTTCAAGACCAGGCTGGCCAAGATGGTGAAACCTCGTCTCTACTAAAAAATACAAAAAAAAATTAGCCAGGTGTGGTCGCAGGTGCCTGTAATCTTAGCTACTTGGGAGGCTGAGCCAGGGGAATTGCTTGAACCCGGGGGGCGGAGGTTGCACTGAACTGAGATCACGCCACTGCACTCCAGCCTGGGCAACAGAGTGAGACTGTGTCTCAAAAAAAAAAAAAAAAAAAAAAAAAAAAGCAAGAATCAAGAATAGTGTTGACAGTGTACCTCACATAAAAACAAATCAGCTTATCAGGAGAAACAAAACTTGCTGGATGCCAGAGAAAGATAGTGAATAATGAGAAAAGGATACTGCTTCCTCAACATTATTGCAAAAGTAAGATGGCAATATTTTCATGATGTTTCTTGAAACATTTTAAGGCAAGATGCTGATAGTGCCAAAACAATTCAGAAAAAATGTTATTTTCTCAGAGAAAAAAAAAAAGTAAAATTGGCAACTTGGGATCTGTAGTAGAAGGATTTGAAGTCATTGTTATGGAGTTTGTATCTTACTGGAAAAATACCTGGGAGCCCTGACTACTAGTATATTTAGGCTGTTTAGAAAGATGATTCCATCCATGTCATTAAGAGTTTGCAGACAAGGAAGCTAACAAAATATATCAAGATTCTAAGTGTGGGATAATTAGGGGCTCAACCAGTGTCCTTTTTTAACTGGTAGGGGTGATCCATCTTTCATTTTTGACTGTGTATGCAGGTGTACTCCTTTCTCAGGCCTTCCAGTGTCAGCTTTATGGATGGAGAGAATTCGACTAGGTACTTTCAGTGATGAATAAGATGTGATCTTTGTCTTCAACTTTCAATGTCTTGTCTTTCTATGAACCTTTTCTCATTCCTTTCTGCCCTTGTTATCCTTGACTGGTCTTATCCTGACAGTTCCCCTTGGCTTCTTGCCTTAAATGGAGATTTTTTTCTCCCATTATTTATTCCCCTTCACTGGTGATTGCTCAGGCAGCCCAACTTGAAAGTAGGGTAGGAAAGAGTTTAGGGCCACCAGAAAATGCTCAGAAGCCCCTGTTCTCATCACTCCTACTTCTGAGTTCTTCTCTTGTTCCTCTTGGGCACAGAGGTGCTGCTGTTAATTCCTCCCTGCCCACCTTTCCATAGAGTCCGTGCGTCCTGGTGCCTCCTACAAACGGCAGAATGAAGGAAATCCTGAAAGAGGTGAGTTTTGAGCTAGACTCTGATTTGGGATTGTGAAGGGGTGGGAGACTTGAACTGATAGCGGTTATGGAAATGGGGAAAGTGTATAACTGCTCCATTAGTCTATTGTGAGAACCACAGTTAGCAGTAGACCTAGGTACTAGGATTTGGGGGGCATTTGTGGGCTGGTATCTGGGCTAGCCATTCCTGGATGGGAATAGCCATTCTGTAGGAGGCTGAGATCTGTAGAATAGACAGGCCATTGGAAGATAGGACCTGACAACAGTAGGATCAAGTGATTTCTGTTTACTCTTTTTGTGTTCTTTCTTTTGCCATTTGTATCATTGTTTTCTTTATCCTTTGCTGCTTGCTTTCTGCTCCCATTGTTGCAACAGGGACATATGAATATATGTGGGTATATGATAAACCTCCTGCACCACCCTTCAGTGTTCCTTTGCTTTTGCACATGAAATTGGTTGATAACGACTTAAATTAGCCTTTGGGCAGCTAAAATCAGGAAAGGTCCAAGACTATACTTCGGGATGATATGTTTGTAAAGGAAACACTAAGCAAAAGATCAACAGCTGCTTGTGACAGGTTTTTTTCCCCTCTGTGTCTAGCTGATAAGTGCTAAAGAATTGAGCCTGTAATTATGCCTTTAATAAGCATAATGTGCTATGCTGATTGGTCCAGTGCCTTGTCTCCTTTGAAGGGATTGCTTATCTGAATAGGATTGGGAGGTCATTGCATCTTAGGTATAGAAAAGTGAGGTTCATCTTTTTATCTGATTTTCGAGTGCCTACCCTTTTCTTGAAGGACTTGAGCTAAGTAGGCCACAGATATTTGGAAATGAATAAGCTATAGCACTTGTTCTTCTGGGAGCTTTTGGTGTAATGGGATACACTGACACTATCACACTATGATGTGAAATTTGCCACATGCAATGGAAATACAATAAGGAATGACTTAAGTATATCATGTTCTTGGCCATTTGGGATACAGTAGTGGTGCTTTTGAGTTTTAAGGTCTACAAGAACTTTTAAAGTTGCTTAGGGTGAAAGCCTCTTGTAGTACCACAAGTTAAAAGACTCTAGGGCTGTATCGTTCTAAAGCTGTTGGAGCTTAAAAACTGGAATACTCAGCCTAGGGCAGGAGTCCTCAACCTCTGCACAATTGACATGTAAGGCCAGTTAATTCTTTGTTGTTGGGGTGTCCCCCATAGCAGGACATTTGCCAGCATCCCTGTCTTCTACTAAATATATGCCAGTAGCCCTCTCCCACTTGTGACAGTCAAAAATATCTGCACATACTACCAAATGTCTGTGGAGGGGAGGTGCAAAATTGTCCTCAGTTAAGAACCACTGGGCTAGAGAAAGTGTTTTGGGTCTGTAGGACATTAGAAAGGTGTTATTCACCACTTTCCTAGGTGGTTGGAAGTCTTTGAGCCTCCAGGACCTTATTTATCTATCTTGGCTGTGGCAGGAAGAGCTTAAGAGGCTTTTTGACTGAAGCTGGCTTTGCCTCAGTTTCAAAGTCGTTTTATCTCTGCTTTTGCTCTTGACTGCTTTGCTGTTAATCCACTGTCCAGTCTCGACCAGCTTCTGTGTGACTCCAAATTTTATGCCACTTTCTCTTCTCATGTTATTAATTTTGTTAGTTTTTCTAGCAACAAAGGGCAGAGGATTATATATTTGGCACATATAGACAATTTAATGAAATGTTTTTCTGTAACAGCTCACTGTTATTAATTTTTAAGAGTATATTTAACTAAACCTATCTTTTAGGGAGTTGTTGAACCTGCTAAAGTACTATTGTTTAAATGTATTTTCTGGCTCAAGTTTCTATAAAAAATAATATACATACAGCACTATGTGAGTAAAGTGACTAAAGGTAAAGATTAGTGACTTTATCTCATACAGGTTTATTTTTAACCATTTAACAAATATTTGGGCATTCATTAATGCCAGGCACTGATTAGTGCTCTGAATTATAGCTTTCTAACTTTATGTTTAAAACTGTCTAAACATTTCAGGAATATCTGCTAAAGTTCCTATGTAGATCCTCTTGAGCTACCCCTTGATTAACTAGTTCTCCTCGGTATCTATATAATAACTACCTTTGTATTTTTATTGTGATATATCAAAAATTAGCATTTAGGAGCATGGAAGAAGTAGCATTCATGGTTTTAAAATATGTTTTGCCTTTCTTGAAGTCTCTGTGGCTCCATGTTTACTTACTAGCAGTGCTGTGGCCTAGACTGGCTTCTATGATATCCTTTGGTTCCAGGTTATTTCAGATTGTTGATGGTGCTTAGCCTCTGAGAGGTAGTTTTAGATATTAACCTATTTAATGTAATAATGTAATGAAAAGTTTTAGTACTAAAATAAGTGTATGACCCCCACATTAATTCCATTACAAAATTACTTTATCAAAAACAAATTAGCTAGAAAAAAAATTACATCTTATGTTTTCTTATATAGATAAAGAGAGGCCTGTCCAGTCTTTGAAAACATCAAGAGATACTTCACCCTCAAGTGGTTCAGCAGTTTCTTCATCAAAGGTTTGTTATATTTCTAAAATCAGTTTAAAGAAGAATTACAAATTGAGATGGACTGACTAGTACAGATGCTTTTATTCTTTACTGTTATGCCAAGGGAGCTAATTTGCTGCATTTAAAAACTTAAATTTTTGGCTAGGTGTGGTGGCTCATGCCTGTAATCCCAGGACTTTGAGAGACTGAGATTGTAGGGAAAAGAAAGAGAGATCAGACTATTACTGTGTCTTTGTAGAAAGGGAAGACATAAGAAACTCCATTTTGACCTGTACCCTGAACAATTGCTTTGCCCTGAGATGCTGTTGATCTGTAACTTTGCCCCAACCTTGAGCTCACAAAAACATGTGTTGTATGGAATCAAGGTTTAAGGGATCTAGGGCTGTGCAGGATGTGCCTTGTTAACAAAATATTTACAAGCAGTATGCGTGGTAAAAGTCATCGCCATTCTCTAGTCTCGATAAACCAGGGGCACAATGCACTGCGGAACGCCGCAGGGACCTCTGCCCTGGAAAGCCAGGTATTGTCCAAGGTTTCTCCCCATGTGACAGTCTGAAATATGGCCTTGTGGGATGAGAATGACCTGACCATCCCCCAGCCCAACACCCGTAAAGGGTCTGTGCTGAGGTGGATTATTAAAAGAGGAAAGCCTCTTGCAGTTGAGATAGTGGAAGGCTACTGTCTCCTGCCTGCCCTGGGAACTGAATGTCTTGGTATAAAACCCGATTGTACATTTGTTCAGTTCTGAGATAGGAGAAAAACCACCCTATGGCAGGAGGCGAGACATGCTGGCGGCAATGCTGCTTTGTTATTCTTTACTCCACTGAGATGTTTGGGCGGAGAGAAACATAAATCTGGCCTACTTGCACATCCAGGCATAGTACCTCCCCTTGAACTTAATTGTGACACAGATTCCTTTGCTCACATGTTTTCTTGCTGACCTTCTCCCTATTATCACCCTGCTCTCCTACTGCATTCCTCTTGCTGAGATAGTGAAAATAACAATAAAAACTGAGGGAACTCAGAGACCGGTGCTGGTGCAGGTCCTTATTATGGTGAGCGTCGGTCCCCTGGGCCCACTTTTCTTTCTCTATACTTTGTCTCTGTGTCTTATTTCTTTTCTCAGTCTCTCGTCCCACCTGACGAGATATACCCACAGGTGTGGAGGGGCAGGCCACCCCTTCATGAGATGGGAGAATTGCTTGAGGCCAGGAGTTCACAACTAGCCTTGGTAACGTAGCAAGACTTTATTTTAAAAATTAAAAATTAGCCAGATGTGGTGGCATGCACCTGTAGTCCTAGCTATTCAGGAGGCTGAGGTGAGAGGATCACTTGAGCCCAGGAGGTTGAGCCAGCAGTGAGCTATGATTGCACCACTGCACTCTAGCCTGGGTGACAGAGCAAGATGCTGTCTCTGAAAAATAAAAACAGGCCGGGCATGGTGGCTTACGCCGGTAATCCCAGCACTTTGGGAGGCTGAGGCGGGTGGATCATGAGGTCAGGAGGTCGAGACCATCCTGGCTAACACAGTGAAGCCGTGTCTCTACTAAAAATACAAAGAATTGGCTGGGTGTGGTGGCTCATGTCCGTAATCCTAGCACTTTGGGAGGCCGAGGCAGGCGGATCATGAGGTCAAGAGATCGAGACCATCCTGGCCAACGTGGTGAAACCCCGTCTCTACTAAAAATACAAAAAAATTAGCTGGCCGTGGTGGCAGGCGCCTGTAGTCCCAGCTACGTAGGAGGCTGAGGCAGGAGAATGGCTTGAACTTAGGAGGCGGAACTTGCAGTGAGCCGAGATCACGCCACTGCACTCCAGCCTGGTAACAGAGTGAGACTCCGTCTCAAAACAAAAACAAAAATAAACAAACAAAAAAAAAAACAATTAGCCGGGTGTGGTGGCACGTGCCTGTAGTCCCAGGTACTTGGGAGGCCAAGGCAGGAGAATTGCTTGAATCCGGGAGGCGGGTGTTGCAGTGAGCTGAGATCACGCCACTGCACTCCAGCCTGGGCGACAGAGCGAGACTCTGTCTCAAAAAAACAAAAAACAAAACCGCTTACATTTTAAATAACCACAGCTTGAAAATAGCAACCCGAGTTTCTATGAGGAAAAATGGGCAGTTTTCTCACTGAATTTTTAACACAGTCTATGCCAAATTTAGTACTTATTGCTGCAACCCATATTCTCATCTTGACCATAAGCAGGTTGGATGGGTTATATCTGGTGGATTGTGCTTTTATTTGGGGAGTTGGGAGTGTAGGCAGATACCTAACATGTATGGTGTATTTTTTCTTTTATTCATACAGAAATCTTAGTAGGTACATATCTCTATTCTATAGTAGAGTGAGGGCTCAGGAGTTATTAATTTCTTAAGGACATAGCTACCCCTCACTATACCATTCTTCTCATTCCTACTTTTCTAGCATCTCAAAACATAAATCCTCAGAAATTAAAAACTTGACAAGTTGCTGTTTCCATCTGTTCTCTCCAGTTAGAAGTTCTCTTCACAGATATCATACCCTTTCTCTTAGCCATAACGGTTGTTACATCTGTTACCTGCTTTACTTCTTTTCATTCTGCCTTTTATACTTTTTGGCTTTTTAGGAAGAGTAGATATCACCTAGCGGTATATACTGGGTGTCTGGGGGGCAGCTGCTTCCCTGCCTCAGGAGGAAAAAAACAGCTTCTTTGTGACAACTTGTATCTTTGGAACTTTCCCAGAAGTCTGAGGGTTCTGGGATTCTGGATTTTGAATAGCAAAGACCAATTGGATTATGGTTCTGTCTTAAACATATCAAGGGTGCTTTACCCACCTGGAACACTGCCTTGGTTTTCATGTCAGGTAATAGATGAAAGAAGAGTAAATAGTACCTGCCTATCAAAGTCACTACAAAAATTCAAATTATTATATATGAAATATTTTCTCTGAAATATACTGCTATCTGAATATAAGTTACAACATAGAGTTTTGTGCTACATGTTAAAAGTTTTAGTGGAAAACAACCATGTTGAATTTTTAACTACTTTTGTCTGATAGTTTCATGTAGATCAAGCTTGATCTACATGCAACTGTGGCCCAGGATGGCTTTGAATACAGCCCAACACAAATTCCTAAACTTTCTTAAAACATTACGTGATTTTTTCCTTTTTTTTTTTTTTAAGCTCATCAGCTATTCTTAGTGTTAGTGTATTCTATGTGTGGTCCAAGACAATTCTAACGTGGCCCAGGGAAGCCAAAGATTGGATGCCCCTGATGTAAATGTTTGCATTTTTTTTTTCACAGACCGTGAAGTTTTTTTTTTTTTTTTTTGTATATAAAAATAGAGATGGGGTCTTGCTATGTTGCCCAGCCTGGTTTCAAACTCCTGGTCTCAAATGATCCTTCCACCTTGGCCTCCTAAAGTGCTGTGATTACAGGCGTGAGCCACTGTGCCTAGCCAGACTATAAAATCTTAAAATGGAATCAAAATATCACAATTTTAGATCCATAGTTATTTTACATATTCAGAAGGTAGCGCCCTCTTTGATTTGCCCAAGGTCACATGGTAGCTGTGGGGAGCTTTATGAGCTAGATTTCCTGATTTGGTGAACTCTTTGATGTAACATTATGGCTGCCCATATGTTGGGATACTTTTTCAGAGTTTGTTAGTTTCAAATGATAGGTTTTCGAATGTGCAGAGAGAATGACAATAAGTTATAGTAGGCTTTTGCTTCATTCTTTTTGAAGGGCAGAACGGAGTTTCACTCTGTCGTCCAGGCTGGAGTGCAATGGCATAATCTCGGCTCACTGCAACCTCCACCTCCCAGGTTCAAGCAATTCTCCTGCCTCAACCTCCCAAGTAGCTGGGATTACAGGCGCCTGCCACCACACCTGGCTAATTTTTGTATATGTAGTAGAGATGGGGTTTCACCGTGTTGGCCAGGCTGGTCTGGTCTCACACTCCTGACCTCAGGTGATCCGCCCGCCTCAGCCTCCCAAAGTGCTGGGATTACAGGTATGAGCCACTGCTCCCAGCTGCTTCATTCTTTGCTAGAGAGAAGTCATATAATTGTTTTTGCTCTTTAATTTTCTCTTAAATAGGTATGCCCCCTCACCCCCTGGAAAAAAAAACAACTTTCTTGGATATATTTGTGTTTGTATATGTGTTTTCTTCTTCTAACTAGCTTTTAAAAAAACCTTCTATTACTGAGTAATAATAAAAGTATTACTTATAATACCTTTTTAACCTTATATATGGACACGGCTTTGGAATGAGCTGTTTAAGCTTCCTCAATGGCTGTAGAATATACTTCATATAGATATATTGCTATAATATTCCAGTAAATGTAGATGGCTAGCCAGTAGTTTGATGAATTTAACAAGGTGTAGAAAAACATCAAATGACCTTTTCAGTTAAAAAAATGTCTAAGCCAGGCACGTTGGCTCATGCTTGTAATCTCAGCACTTTGGGAGGCCGAGGCAGGCGGATAACCTGAGCTCAGGAGTTTGAGACCAGCCTGGCCAACGTGGTGAAATCCTGTCTCTACTAAAAATACAAAAATTACCCGGTTATGGTGTGCGCATTTGTACTGTTAGCTACTCGGGAGGCTGAGGTTGGGGAATCGCTTGAACCCAGGAGGCGGAGGTTGCAGTGAGCCGAGATCGCGGCACTGCACTTGAGCCTGGGTGACAGAGTGAGACTGCATTCCCCCTCGCCCCTCCCAAAAAAGCCTAGATTTAAGTCCCAGCTCAGCATTTATTAATGACTTTGAGCAGGTCACCATCATTCAGTTTTTTAGTTTATGAGTTGGGATAATAAAGCCTCTCTAATCACCTTCATGGAATTCTATTTAATTAAAGTACTTCTTTTGGTTCATAGATAAAAGCACTTTATAAATGGTAGTGCCCCATAAGTTCAGTGCCCAGCACTGTCATCCACAAGAGGTATATTTGGAATCAGTGATGTGACTTTAGAGAAGTAAAGCTTAGTAATAGAAGGTTTTTTAAGAAGAGATGGTTATGCAACTAAGCATGGCAGGGCAAAGCTGATGAAAATGTATACCAAGGAAGTAGAATGGAATCAGAGAATTACCTTAACGGCCCTAAGGAAATAATTTTTAAATTTGTGCTTGACAATTCATATCTTATTTACAAAATAAGCCTTTAAACAGTACTGGGGGAATTATATCTGATCCAGAAAAGACATTTTACTTTCTTCATTTTTATATTGAGCCCATTGGCTGATTGATTTTCAGATATGTTTTAGTATAATAGATTCACATCAGTGAATATGGAAAAGAAAGAAACACTAAGGTACCAAGCATTATTGTGGATACTTCCAGATCTATTACCTCCTTCAATTCTCACAACTGCTTTGCAAAGTGAGCATTATTAACCCCTATTTTGTAAATGAAGAAACCAAGGCTCATGGTGTCGTAAGTTAGGTGTATAAAGTCATCTACCTAGCAAGTCATTAAACTGCGATTCAAAGCCAGGTCTGTATATAACTGCAAAGTCCATACCTTGTTTAGTATTGTGTGCAGTTAGATAAAGGAACTAGTAGTAGGATCAAAAAATGAAATTTAAGTTTAAAAATTTTGTGTAAGGAGTAGGATTTATGTAACTCACTGTACACTGTAATAATAGCATATCTGTACGTTTCTGTTGTATTAGGAGTTTGCTTTACTGAAATTTAGACATTACTTATTTCATTAAATATGCTTAAAGGCACAAAGTTGAAATCAGTATGATGTCTTTTATATTCTAAATATAATTATTATATGAGTTAATTGTCAGTGTCTTTTGCTTTGTTACTTAGATGAATTTCTAGAGTCTTATGTAAATGAAATTAAGAATTAGATCTGGTCTATATGTCCCAAAGGAATTGCTACTTAAAGTAATTCCATGTTGAATATTTTTGAAGGAGGAAATAAAGAATGTACCTGTTCTCCATAGAAATTTGGAGGCTTATATGATTTTAAATGTAAGTGGAGTGTACTTCTTGGTGTATTTGAAGTTTAAAAGCCCTTGAGAATTGTAACAGAAATGTTCTATTTTTATTAGGTGTTAGACAAACCCAGTAGGCTAACTGAAAAGGAACTTGCTGAGGCTGCAAGCAAGTGGGCTGCTGAAAAGCTAGAGAAATCAGATGAAAGTAACTTGCCTGAAATTTCTGAGTATGAGGTAAGGCATAATGTCTCCTTTATGTTTCACATCTGAAAGTTTTGTCTGGATTTTAAATTATGGGCGAAAAATATTTGGTTTATTCCTATACTTCAAAATATATCCTTATGGATTACAGGTATTAAAATTACCACACAGAATGATAGTCAGAATATGAATGACTCTGAATTCAGTAATCACGCTTTGTCTGAATGTTTCCTGTAGTTTTGGTGTGTAAGAATAGTATAAATATGGAGTATAAGAAAAATGCGTTATTTATATACTTCTTTTAATGGGCTTTGCTGTTAAAAGTATCTCAGGAAATCATGCTAAGCCACTAGTTATAAACCAGTGAATTCAGAACAGAAATCTAATTTGACCTTGGATTGTGGACCATATTTATATTGCTTGTTATACTTCATGCAGATTATCTCATAAATATCCCAAGAAATAAAATTATTCATTGTCTGGGCAACCCGAGACCTTGATGAGTCTTGAATACCGAAAGATGGGAACATTTTTGGGACCATAGAAAAAGGTTTATGACACGTTTGTATTAACATATTTTGAAATGAACTGAAAAATTTCTGTATAAACTGTAACATCTCTAAAAGGGAAATATAGAAATTCTGTGGTCACAATTAAGCTTTTAGATTCAGGATTTGATACTATAGGAATTCTTTGACATGACAGGTAGAGAATATAAAAATCCGTCCCGTGACAAATTATTTTTATTTGAAGGAGCATTCTGGCTTTTTGATTTACTTTTGGAATGACTTTTATAGAATGTTCTTTGATAAAAGGGATCAAGCATTGATATTGTATGTAAAAATAATACTTAACTACATCTTTATACAGTGAAAAGATCCTTTCCAAAGTAACTAATGTACACTGCTCATAAAAAGTATAAACCCTATCAGAACTTACGCAAATAGAGCCTTTCTTTTTAAAAATGCTGATCTGTCTTTTAGATATCGATTGTTCTTAAGTGGGTCAAGGTTTCCTCCTTATTGTAGCTATAATAATAGATATTTATGCATATTCTCCAGTAAATGTATCAAAAACACCAAGCTGTTCCTTCTTGGTACTTTTCCAGCACTATTTAAAAGCATGAACAATACTTTTCAGTAATACATTTAATTGGATTATTTTGGTTATTTTCTCTAATAATTTAGAATAATGTTTCTACATTAATCATTGATATTTATGCTTCAAAATTGCTGCTTTGGAATATTGGTAGTTTGTTTTATGGAACCAAAAACTTTCAAAAAGAATAATTTCTTAATACTTCATCTCCAATTAACAAGGCTTTATTAATTTATGAACATTAATAGTATATTTATCCTCCCTTCTCCCATCATTTTTTATCTCAGGTTTTTATAAAAGCTCACTACTGTTCTCAAATTTAAATATTCTGCTTGGGTTCTCTCATTTCTTGAATGCATCTTGACACTGAATAATCCATGAGTGACTTCGGATCTAGAAAGACTTTTTAAACATCTTTTTTTTCCTCTAAAATTTGCTCAGAATTCGCTAGATTTCAAATTAATGAAAAGTAAATAACCCTAAAAAAAATCTGTAAGTTGAGTCATAGGTCAGACGTGTTCTTTTGTTGGATCAAAGGCAAGATATGTGAGAGTAGCACTGATAACCATAATATGTTTATTTCTGTATGTCATTAATGTTGAACAGCAGCATCAATTTCATCCCATTCTCTAAAATATTTTTCTACTTAGATTGATACTTTTTCGTACTGGAAATCATTTGGGAAATTTTTGAGATAATTTTTGTAAACTTAGTCCCATATCATATTAATATTTTTCTCTTATTAATACTTTAGCTTATTAATATTTTGCTAATTTGTTCTCAGGCTATTGTTAAATAGTTACTCATTTCAGTGGTCCGTGCTTTTTGAGAAATATAATTTTGGCCTTGGTCCTGTAAACTGATATCTAATTTGACAGAATAGCCTGGAAAGAAGAAAGGCCTTTGATGCCAAGCAAGAGTTTGGCAAAGTACTGTGTATGTGTGTGTGTGCATGTGCGTGTCTGTTTAAATCTAATTGTGGCAATATTTTATTTTATATGAGCCTTTTAAGTAATGGTTCATGTACTTCAGAAACATTGTGTAAATTTCATTATTATGAGCTGAGATAGATAGAATGAATGCTTAAGTTTCCACCTTGTCTTCACTTGCTGCCCTCATTATAGTTCTAAGCAATTTGTTTGGGAAAACGTGTAGTTCATAGAAAGTCCAGTGAAATTGAAGGTAAATTCAATAATATACTTAAATATTCAGGCATGTTGTGGTTCCTGCCACTTTTCAGTTTTATACTTTCATCTTCTGGGCTCTACTACAGCATTTCCCAAGGTATTTGACAGCATATCTGAAGGGTCTTAATGGTCTGAGGAAGAAAAAAAAAGATTCTAGTAGCCAGTTTATTTGAGATGCTAAGTTTAAAAGAGTTAGGTTGGTTTTGATATTTCAGCACTTTTTAGAGATTTTAATTTATTATTAATATGTTCATCGGTGTTCAGTAAGAGGATAATAAAAGAGTTTGCATAATTTACCAAACTTTTGACTATGTAATTTTTTTCACAGCATGTATTTCAGGATTAGTGTTTTAAGGCACACTTAAAAAATACTGTACTAGTTTTCTTATAGTTTATTTAAATTCACTAAATATGCATTGTATATCCACTTGTGTCAGACATTGCTTTTGAGGTACCATCCTAGCCATCAAGAAGGTTGCAGTCAAGTTTTGTAGAGATATAATTTGCTGTCCTTAAACAAATAGCTGTGAGAGTTTTCTTTTGGTTGTCAGAATGAAAAGAAAATTGTTTGAAGGATATTAGAATGTCCTGGTAGATGAGACCTAGGCAGGAAGATTGTTTGAGGCCAGGAGTTGCAGACCAGCCTGGGCAATGTAGTAAGGTCTTGTCACTACAAAAAAAAAAAAAAAAAAAAAAAAAAAAAAAAAGCTGGGTGTGGTGGCCGCTTAGTCCCAGCTACTCAGGAGACTAAGGTGGGAGGATCACTTGAGCCCAGGAATTGAAGTTTGCAGTGAGCTGTGATCACACCATGGCCCTCCAGGCTGGGTGACAGAGCAAGACCCTGTCTCAGAAAAAAAAGAAATGGGGACAGCGGGGCAGGTATGCTGGCTTACACCTGCAAAAATAGTGGGACCCCATCTGTACAAAAAAAAAAAAAATCCACAAAAAATTAGCTGGGCATGGTGGCATGTGCCTGTAGTTCTAGCTGTTCAGGAGGCTGAGGTGAGAGGATCTTGCTTCTGGATGATTGAGGCTGCAGTGAGCTGTGACTGCATCACTGCACTCCAGCCTGGGTGGCAGAGCAAGACCTAGTCTCAAAAAAAAAAAAAAAAGTCTCAGTAGAACAGGTCACTTCCTGCTGTAGAGGAAAAATTTAAAATTTACGACTTATGTTGTTTTCACATATAGGGTGTTATTTTTGGCTTCAATGTCTGTGCTTATTCTGTCCCTAGTCTAGAATGACCATCTTCCATGGCTCTCTTTCAAATTTATACTCATTCAGTGGAATCACTAGTGTTGGAGATAATACAACTCAAGATCTTGATTCCACTTTTCTACCTACTATAACATTTTATGCCACTTTATATTTCATTGATGACCTTAATTTTTTTGCCTAGTGATATATGTTGAATGTATCTCAAACACTTGCTTTGTTTTCTGTACAGTACCTCGGACATATATATCTAATTGAAATACATTTAATTACTAATGAGCTCTTTTAAATTAACTGTCAGTTTTTTTTCCCCTTTTTCACTTGCTTTTTGTTTCTGAAAGCTCCTGTCTTCTCTGTTGTACTTTCTTTGCTCACCAGTTTACACATTGTGTATAGGCCTATGTCTTAGTTTTACATATTGTGTATAGGCCTATGTCTTAGTTTTGTGTTGCAGTAACAGAACACCAGTGACTGGGCAATTTACAAAGAATGTTGCTAGTGGAATTCTTTTCTTAAATGATTTTTATGCTTTTGGTATAAGTCCCTTAACATATGTAACTCAAACTTCTTTAAAAAAAAAACTAGGTTTGTTTGTTTTTTGAGACAGTGTCTGGCTCTGTCGCCAGGCTGGAGTGCAGTGGCGCTGGTGTGATTTTGGCTCACTGCAACCTCTGCCTCCCGGGTTCAAGTGATTCTCTTGCTGGGATTACAGGCACCTGCCACCACACCCAGCTAATTTTTGTATTTTTGGTAGAGACGGGTTTTCACCATGTTGGCCAGTATGGTCTTGATCTCTTGACCTCGTGATCCGCCTGCCTCGGGTTTTTTTTTTTTTGGTAGATCATACATGTATGTGTCAGAAATTCAAATGACACCAAAGTATTTACAATGTGGCTCTTCTTTGCTACTTCTTCTAAGTTGTTACTATTGAGACAACTCCTTTGATAATTTTTTCTGTAGTGTCCTTCCAGAGACAGTCTATGCATATATGTATTCCAATACTTAATCTCCCACCTGACCGTTTTAGACATAATTCACAGTATATTTATTCATTTTTAATTATTGGTCTAAAACTGAAGTGATCATTATTGATTTGTGGGGTTTTCTTTTTAATGATTTCAGTGAATTATTAGGCTACAGGAGCAAGGTGATTTAACTTCTAAAAATACAGCCTTTTCTCATATTCCCTTTAAATATATTTCTTTATTTGTGTACAACACCTCTCACTTCCATTTGGACTTTTTCTCCTCAGTATTTCGTAAACTGATCACTTAAGGAATAGTCAAGGGACAATAATTTTTTATCTGTATCTTAATATAATGTGAAATAATATTTTGGAATCGAATAGGCCTAGAGGCTTTGTCTTACCTAAAATTTAAAAAGTAACAGCCTCACTTGCTTCGGCAGCACATGCACTAAAAATTGGAATGAAACAGAAGATTAGCGTGGCCCCTGCACAAGGATGGCACGCAAATTCATGAAGTGTTCCATATTAAAAAAAAAAAAGTAGCAGTCATTTCTTCTTTAATCCATTTCACATATGCTCATTATGCATAGTGAAATGGAGAGAGTTTTCTTTTCTTAAAACATGTTAAATCTAGCACTTAATATAATTTGCCAGTTAGTGCCTATACACAACCATCTGAACTGCTCTATGTTTTTTAAGAAAATAATTAAAGATTTCTAATTCCTTTTCAAGGCGGGATCCACAGCACCATTGTTTACTGACCAGCCAGAGGAACCTGAGTCAAACACAACACATGGGATAGAATTATTTGAAGATAGTCAGCTAACCACTCGCTCTAAAGCAATAGCATCAAAAACCAAAGAGATTGAACAGGTGAGAGTCTAGTTGTCTTCATGTACATAATTTTTGTTTGTGTTGCTTTGCACATGTAAACATTTATTGAATAAATATGCTTCATTTCTTTTTCCACCTGTAACTCTAAAACTACAACTTAAAAAATTATAAAAATTGTTTGAGTTGACTTCACAGTCAGTTTGATCAGTATGGTCCCCCACCTGGATTGTTTATTTTTAAATAAAAAACAGACTTCTTTTTTACAGAATATTAATATTCTAGTTAGTATGAAGCAATTAAAAATTATTAAAGTTAATAGGGATGGGATGGAAGAAATGTTCAATGTAGCAAAATGTTAGCAAATGTTATTTTTGAATATTGGGATTACAGATGTTTCTTATGTTTTTTCATTATACTTTAAGGTAGTTTCCAAATATTAAAGGAAAAATAAAGGATACTATTTAAGTCTAGTTTTTTAGTGAAGTCATTCTGAAAAGCAGGACTTTGTTTTTAATGTGCAACTATTATGGGGTTATTTTCATTTTATGAGGATTAAATGAAGTAAATGTGAAAGGGTTTTATAAAATGTAACATTTTGTACAGGTGCTTATTGATGTTGTTACTCTCTAGTGCGTTGAATAAATGTAATTACATTGATAATAATATTCTAAAACCTATTGGAAATTAAGAACAAAGTGAAAACTTTTCTCTAGGTGCTGTCCGATTTCTACATCAATTAAATCCGTTTCCTTTTGTTGGATAGGGAATGGTCTCAAATCCTAGATGTGACCGTGTAGCTTATGTTAATGTCACACTAATGTGAAAAGATAAGAACCAGAATAGGAAATTTGTCATGCAAACCATTGGAGTTTCAAAATGAAGGTGGTGAGCAGTATCAGATGCTTAGAGGAATATAAGGAAAATGGAGACTGAGAAAATTCTGTTTAATTTGGTGATTGGGAGGCAGTTGGTACCTTTCAAGATACCAATTAAATGAGAGCATAAGTAAAAGGTTTGCTCAGTATATCTATCTTTAACACAAAGATGAATGTCTTTATTTTATATAAAATTACTGTCCTTTTTTTTCTTGACATGTTTTTATTTCCTTTTCTCCCCTTACCATAATGGATGCTCTGTGAAAACAAGGGCTTTGTTTTATCTTGTTTTATTTACTGCTACATCTGCCATCACCGAGAACAGTATGTGTAGCAGGCTTACAAGAAATACTTGTGGCCGGGCGCGGTGGCTCACGCCTGTAATCCCAGCACTTTGGGAGGCCGAGGCGGGCGGATCACGAGGTCAGGAGATCGAGACCATCCCGGCTAAAACGGTGAAACCCCGTCTCTACTAAAAATACAAAAAATTAGCCGGGCGTAGTGGCGGGCACCTGTAGTCCCAGCTACTTGGGAGGCTGAGGCAGGAGAATGGCGTGAACCCGGGAGGCGGAGCTTGCAGTGAGCCGAGATCCCGCCACTGCACTCCAGCCTGGGCGACAGAGCGAGACTCCGTCTCAAAAAAAAAAAAAAAAAAGAAATACTTGTTGGATGGATGACAGGTGGAGTCATAAACCTGCAAGTGACCTTCGAGTAGTCCCTAACTACTGTATAGAATCTCACAGCCTGTTGCTCAGGCTGTTCTCAAACTCTTGGCCTCAAGTGATCCTCCTCTCTGAGCCTCCCAAAGTGCTGGAATTATAGGTGTGAGCCACTGTGCTAAGATGCAGTTCTTAAAAGGAGAGGTTCTCTTAAGAATGTAACTGGTAGAAAAACTTGATTGAAATAACAGGGGAGAGCGAGACCCTGTCTCTCTCTCTCTCTCTTTCTCTCTCTCTCTCTCTCTCTTTCACACACACACACACACACACACACACACACACACGTGCACGCAAGTGGCTATACTCTGTATGCTGTTCGGTATTCTTAGAGATCATTCCATATTAGCCCATTATTAATAGATATTTACATCTGTTGTGAACCATGTTTTCAAATACAGTCCCTGATTTCTCCATATTTTTTAAAAGATATGCATGTATATTTTTAATGAGTAAAGCATTACATTTAAAATGAACAATTCTGGGAGGTTTTTGGTTTAATATTGTGGATGTCACATGCCAGGTTTGAGAGTAATCAGAATGTGAGTTTGCAGAGAATCTTAATTTCTTGCTTGTACCAGTCACCGTCAACCTTTCTTAAAAATTGTGTTTGTAAATACAATTAATAAAGCCTAAACCAAAACAATTGCAGGGATGTGCCTGAAAATATTTTTTAAATATATTATACTCTTCAAATTACAAAAACTTGCCATCTGTAGAAGGACGAGTCTCTCTCTTTTTATTTTTATTTGGTAGATAATAAATGAGAAAAGAACAAGTACCATGAATTCGTTTTTAAACCTCTTTGGCTCTTTCAGAACACTCTCCTAATATAATGCTGTTTTATGAAAATGTTTATTTTTCTACCTATAAGCAGGGGTCCCCAACCCCTGGGCTTGTGGACCGCTACTGGTCTGTGGCCTGTTAGGAACTGGGCGTCACAGCAGGAGGTGAGTGGCCATGGGGAGGGGGGAGGGAGGACAGGGGAGTGAGCATTACCTCCTCAGCTCTACTGCTTGTCAGATCAGTGGTGGCATTAGATTGTCACAGAAGCGCAGACCCTATTGTGAACTGCAGACACGAGGGATCTAGGTTGTGTGCCCTCTCACTCCTTCCGTGGAAAAAATTGTCTTCCTCAAAACTGGTCCCTGTTGCCAAAAAGGTTGGTGTCTGCTGCCTATAAGTATGCTATCTTTTGAAAAAAGAGCTGATTATATATTCATCAGGTAATTTATAGTTAAAATATAGATAGGAATCATTTTAGTTATAGGGAAGGTACCATTTTGAGGTGTTTTTTGTTGTTGTTTGTTTATTTGTTTGTTTTTTGAGACAGGGTCTTACTCTGTCGCCCATGCTGGAGTGCAGTGGCACGATTACACCTCACTGCAGCCACCACCCCCCAGGCTCAAGCAATACTCCCACCTCACCCTCCTGAGTAGCTGGGACTACAAGTGTGTGCCACCACTCCCAGCTAATTTTTTTTTGTATTTTTTGTAGAGATGGGATTTCACCTTGTTACCCATGTTGGTCGCCAACTTCTGGGCTCGAGAGATCTACCCACCTATTACAGGCGTAAGCCACCGCACCCGGCCCATTCTGAGGTTCTTAAACATAAAGAAATAGAGTAATCAGGGACACTTGGGGAAAGGGATTGATTATTTTGGTGTTCTTTTCTTTCTTTTAACTTCAAAACACTTATCCTGAATATTTTTTGTTTCTGTAAAGACAATTTTTATTATAGTCATAGCTATGCCAGCTTTGTTATGTGAAACTTTACTTCTTAGCCATTTAGGAACCCCTTTCCTTATTACAATTAGCTAAGAAAAATTGAGTTAATTCAGACTTTATTTTGTTGATTGTTATTAGCTTTATTAAGAGTCTGTTGTAAGTCTAAATCTACTTAATATATTTTTTATTTTGAATTCCGTACTATCACCATTTGTGCGACTATATGGGCTACTTTACTAGCTTTTCTTCGCTTTTCCCTCCAAATAAAAGGGTTGGGCTGAATAATCTTAGGTCTCTTCCTGATCTAAATCATACTGAAAATTAAAAGTTAAATATTACTTTTTCTGTACACAGTTGTGTGTAGTAATTTCATATTTAACTATAGAATTTTAAGTTTTTTTTTTAAACCTTCTTAAGGACACAGGGCTCTTAAATTAAAATAAGTTTTTAAATAACCTTCGAATATACCACTGTTATGTGTCAGTCAGTAATTAGTATTTGTTGAGTTAATGAATTGTGCAGAGCAGGTTTTCTTCCGTAGATAGGGTGTTAGATTTAATTGTAAGTGTTGTAGCTGTGGCCATTTTCTCTTCTTACAGTGTCTCATTTCAGCTACTACTCATTGTCTGATGATTCCCAACACTCACTAGCTCTTGCTGTTTCTCATATATAATCTGTTTTTGTTTTACATTTAAAGAGGCTAGAAGTAAAGATTAGTGAAATGTACAGTCTTGAAAATGTTAACTAGAGTTGTGGACATGGAAAATAATCAGCTTTTAGCATATGATGCATTCCAATGAAATTGTTTTCAAAGTAGTGGCAGCTGTATCTATTGTTGTAGGTTCAAGATCTAAGCATTTCATAGTAACCTTACATAATAGAAACATTCTTTGTTTTTCCTTTTTATCAGAGCAAGTAACCAATGTTCTTTAAAGTGCAGCTCTCACCACTATCTTGTCTAGACATCAAGTCTACCCTACTGTATTTAACAATCCATTATTACCAACCACTTGTTCAGATTTTACATACATACAGTTAGTAAAATATACTCACATAAGATGTACCTCTGAAAGTCTGGATTCCCAAAACAACTTGAAAAGAGATGATTTATTTTGACCAAATTTCAAAGAGTTTGAAAGTTACAATTTACCAGATTCTGGTCATGCTGTTACTGCAGAAGCTTGTTGAAGTAAAAGTATAAAGTTTTTATTTTAAGAGAATCTAAAAGCTATCTCTATAAGATAATTTGTATCATATTTAAAAGGAAGCATCTCTTAAAGGTAATTTAGTTATTTTGTACCTGATATCTCTTTAAGTGGGAAGCTTGATGAATCTGTTAAGATGTTATATTTACATCAAATATAAAATCTAGATAGTACAGATACCAAGTCTTATTAGAACCATACTTAAAATGATATGAGTACCTTAAGGGATGAGGCCATCTTGCACCTTATCCTTGGGGATGTTACCACTGAAACAAAAAATACCCAGTTATAAAGCAGTTCCAGTAAAGGTAATCCCCATGGCATAAACCCAAGTATAAGCTTCATTTTCTTACCTCTTCTCCTCATCCACTCTCTACCAGTGTTAGGTAAGGATTTTACCTAGTGGTTCCAAATTACTGTCCCATGCTACTCAATTTTGTTTTCTTAGGTCAACAATTTTTTTTAGTCTCTGAGTATTTTATGGTAAGGACATTTATAAATGGCATGGTATAATGAACACTTAGTGTTTTCACATCTTAGAGACCTTTTCCTCTTTTTTTTTTTTCTTTTTTTTGAAACGAGGTCTCACTGCATTCTCTAATTATAAGTTCTCTCACAGAATTGACAACCTATTATATGTGAAAGCCGTTTATGTATGAAAATTACCATACAGGTGGTTAATGGTAGTGTTAAGTAATACTTTCTGCCTGTTTCTTTGCAGCTTTGCAATATTGATTACTTTCAAATTACTTCTTAAGAATATTTTAGGCTGGGCACAGTGGCTCACGCCTGTAATCCCAGCACTTTGGGGGGCCCAGGCGGGTGGATCACTTGAGGCCAGGAGTTCGAGACCAGGCTGGCCAACATAGTGAAACACCATCTCTACTAAAAATACAAAAATTAGCCCAACATGGTGGTGGGTGCCTATAATCCTCGCTACTTAGGAGGCTGAGGCAAGAGAATCACTTGAACCTGGGAGGCAGAGGTTGCAGTGAGCCGAGATTGCGCCCTTGCACTCCAGCCTGGGCAACAAGAGCAAAACTCCGTCTCAACAACAACAACAACAACAACAAAAATATTTCATAGCAAGTTTGTGATATAGGTTTACCTCTGAAAGGTGATTTTCTGGTCAGTGTCAAGGTTTCGACTATTTGCCTCTTACCTCTTCACTTCTTTTGTTTTGTTGTTGTTTATTTCCTTTTCCCCACCTCCTTCCTAATTTGTTCAAAATGAAATGTAAAAATACTATTAAAAAATATTTGTTTTGCAGCCGGGTATGGTGGCTCACACCTGTAATCCCAGCACTTTGGGAGGCTGAAGCAGGCGGATCACAAGGTCAGGAGTTCAAGACCAGCCTCACCAACATGGTGAAACCCTGTCTCTACTAAAAATACAAAATTAGCCGGGCGTGGTGGCCCATGCCTGTAATCCCAGCTACTCAGGAGGCTGAGGCAGGAGAATCGCTTGAACCCAGGAGACAGAGGTTGCAGTGAGCCAAGATCATGCCATTGCACTCTAGCCTGGGTGACAGAGTGAGACTCCGTCTAAAAAAATAAAAATAAAATAAATTTTTTTTGCTTATTTTGGGGGACTTTGTGATTTTGCTTTCACATTTTTCATTTGGCTTGCTCTTTTTATCTCAGTGTTCCTTATCTGTTTTGCTTGTATACACATAGCATAAAAAGATTAATGTTTCCTCCTTAGAATTCTCTACCGTCCTTTTCCTAAAGCATAAGTTGTTCTCATACTTTCCCCTTCATCTGTCATCTCTCATTTTTAAGATGTGATCTGTCTTGAAACATCTGCTGTCCTCTCTTAACTATTGTTTAATTCAGGTATTGTGCCAGGAGAGAACAAATGTGTATGTTTTATATGCACTTGAGTGCTGACTACAATTACAGTGTGAGTTAATTGATATTCTCAGTCCATTTATAAGAAACATTTTAAAAGCTGCACTAAGAAAATCTCATGTTTTACTTAAAGGTAACTTGAAAGTAAACACTAGAAGTGAATTGATGATTGTCTAATGTCTGGTTTATTGGGAGCTAATTATGTTATCTTTCGTTGTTTTTCTTTCCTTACTCTTCCTCTTTCTTTTTGCATTTTTTATGTTTTTGGGGTTTTAAAAAGAAAACCATTATAGGAAATCAGACAATGCAATATATGTTATTTCTGTTTTGAATACTTATTTACATGAGTTAGCTGGGGGAATATTTGTAGGGGTTTTTTGGTCTGCCTGAAAGCCAAATCTTAAGATTTTTAATCCCTCAATTACTGGAACTTGGGGGAAAAGTGAGCAGTTCAGTGTAATTTAATTTTCCAGTTGGCTGAAGTTAGCCATGCTAAACTCTGCTATGTTTGTTATTATGTTTTGCTTTTTTTTTAAAATCACTTTTAGTGATGTATGTAATACAGAAAGAAGAGTGTTCAGAACCTAGTTGTTAATCTGAGTGATTTTTTCTACAAAGCAAATACTTGTAAGAACTACCATTCAAGGCAAGAAATAGAATATTACCAGCACCCAAGAATCCGTTCATCTCCCCTCCTAACCTTTACCCCCTTCAAGGTAACTACTAAATTGATTCTTAACATTATAGTTTAGTCTGGTTTTTTTTTTTTTTTGAGACAGAGTCTTGCTCTGTCACCCAGATTGGAGTGCAGTGGTGCGTTCTTGGCTCACTGCAAACTCCACCTTCCGGGTTCATGCCATTCTCCTGCCTCAGCCTCCCGAGTAGCTGGGACTACAGGCACCCGCCACCATGCCCGGCTAATTTTTTGTATTTTTAGTAGAGATGGGGTTTCCCGTTAGCTAGGACGGTCTCGATCTCCTGACCTCGTGATCCGCCTGCCTCAGCCTCCCAAAGTGCTGGGATTACAGGCGTGAGCCACCGTGCCCGGCCTCTGTTTTTGAACTTTATACAAATAGAATCATATGGAATATAGTATTTGTGTCTAGCATCTTTTGTTCAAAATTGTGTTTATGAGATTCGTTGATGTTGTTACATGTTATGTATCTCCTTATGGTTTTAATTTGCATTTGCCTGATTAGTGATGCTGAGGACTGTTTCCTGTGGTTATTGGCACATGAATATCCTTTTTTTGTAAAACGGCTATTGAAATTCTTGTCCATTTTTCTAATTAGTTATCTTTTTTTCAGTTGATTAGTAGAAGTTCTTTATATATTCTGAATACAAGGTGGTTATATGTGTTGTGGATATTTTTCCCATTTTGTGGCATTCTTTTGATATCTTTGGGGGAATAAAAGTTCTTAATTTTATTGTAATCTATACTTTTCAATCTTTCCTATTGTTATTTGTCTTACTATTTAAAATTTCTAGAAGCTTTTTTTATTTTATATTTTACATTGAGTTATAGTCATCTGAAAATGATTTTATGTATTGTTTGTATCAAATATAGCAGGGATCAAAATTTTTTTCCACTTGGACATCAATTTGACCCCAAACCATTTGTTGGAAAGATCATATGTTTCTCCCTACTCTGCATTGACCCCTGAGTTATAAGACATCCATGTAAGTCTGTATGAATCTGTTTCTGGACTCCATTCCATTGGTCTGTTGATCCTGCAACAATACTACCCCATCTTCATTATTATAGCTTTTATAAGTCTTGATATATGTAGAGGTAGTCTTCCTACCTTGTTTTTCTTTTTTAAGAGTGTGTCTGTACTTGGAGCTTTGAATTTTGTAGAAATTTTAGAGTCAGTTTTTCAAACTCTCAGAGACAATAAACAAAGCCTGTTGAGATCCTGGCTCAGGATATCTCAAGAAGTTGTAGTTCAGCTGGCAGCCAGGGCTACAGGGTTACAGACATGACTGGAGCTGGTAGATTGACTTCTGTGCTCATTCACATGCTGTTGGCAGAAGATTTTGGTTCCTTTCCTTGCCATATGGGCCTCTCCACAGCACTTGCTTATGACATGGCCTCCACTAGAGCTAGTGACCTAAGAGTAAAAGAGTGACACCTTAATGCTTTCATTGGTTTAGTCTCCAAGTCACATACCATCACTTCTGCCTTGTTCTGTCCATTAGAAGTGAGTCACTAAGCCCAGCCCAAAATCAACTGGAAGGAATTACACAAGGAAGTAAATGTAGTGATTCCTCAGTATCCGTGGGGAATTGGTTTCAGGACACCTCAGAGATACCAAAATCCATGGATGCTCAAATCCCTTATGTAAAATGGCCTTGTATTTGCATATAACCTACACACATCCTCCTGTATACTTTAAATCATCTCGATTATTTATAATACCTAATGCAATGTAATGCTGTGTAAATAATTGTTTGTAAATAATTGCTATGTAAATAATTGTACTGTGTTGTTTAGGGAATAATGAAAAGGAAAAAATTCAGTACATGTTCAGTACAGATGCACCCATACCCATTCATTTTTCTCCCCCAAATATTTTTGATCTGTGGTTTGGCAGTCCATGGATGTGAAACCCATAGATACTCAGAGCCAACTGTACCAGAAGGTAGGGATCACCGGGGGCTATTTGGAGAGTTAGCCATCATATCCTCCCATGATTAGTGTTATTGAAGTTAGCAGGTTTATTATTCTTTTCAAATAACTAACTTTTGATTTTATTTATCTCTTTCTTCTTTAGTATTCTTTATTAATAATTTTCTATTTTGGGCGGGCTTAACTTGCTATTTAAAAAAAACATTCCTGAGCTGGATGCTTATTGATCTGCAGCTTTTCTTTTAACATATAAATTCTGACTCTTGGCCAGGTATGGTGGCTCACGCCTGTAATCCCAGCACTTTGGGAGGCTGAGGGAGGAGGTGGATCACTTGAGGTCAGGAGTTTGAGACCAACCTGACCAACGTGGCAAAACCCTGTCTGTACTAAAAAAATACAAAAATTAGCCAAGTGTGGTGGCTTTTTTTTTTTTTAACATTACTTTTAATGGCAAAAACCACAATTACTTTTGCACCAGCCCAGTAGATTCTAGTGCATCCACACTATGGAATTTTATACAGGCAGTAGAAGGATTAACAGAGAATTACCAAAGTACATAATGGTGTATTACTTTAGTAGTTAGGTAAGTAGCATAGGAACTTTGGTGTTAGGGGATCTGGCTTAAATCTCAGTTCAACTGCTTAATAATATGTGTCTTTGGGAAAGTCACTTAACTTTTCTGAGCCTTGCTTTGCTCATCATTGTAATGGGATTGGTGACATTACCCACTTCATAGTAATGTTAGAATGAAGTGAGTATGTATATTTATGTTGCCTAAGACATTGTCAGTAATCAAAATATCTGCTATTATTGTTTTGTGGATTAGCCTGGGATCTTGAAATAAGGCAGAAATTTCAGTTAAGTAACTGATAAGTCACACTGAGAAAAAACTATTCCTTTGGTAATTCCTTGTATTGTAAATTACAGTAGTTCTCCCACTTAACTGGGTTCTAAGACACCCAATGGTTTTCTGAAACCACAGATAATACTGAACCCAATATTTTTCCTATACATACATATTTAAGATAAAGTTTAATTTATAAATTAGGCACAGTAAGAGATTAACAACAATAAGTAAAATAAAATAGAAGTATTAAAATAATGTAAAACTTGTGTGAATGTGGTCTACCTTCTCTTTCTCTCAAAATATCTTATTGTACTATAATCACCTATTTTTGGACCATGGTTGACCTTGGATTACTGGAACTATGGAAAGCAAAACTGCTGATTGGGGGTGAGGGGACTACTGTATAGTCTTTGTGAGTGGATTAAAATTTACTTCATTAAAACCAAAAAAAATGGACAACTCCTGTCACTTTTATCTAGTGATTGTTTCTTAGTAGAAGTCAAAGAAAAGGGCAGTGCAGATACTGGAGAACTGAAATGTGCAGGTTGGTGATAATATGCTGTTATATTGTCATCTCCATAATTAACCTATGATGGTAGTGATTGTATTGAGGATAATGAGACCTGATTTTTGTACAGATGTCTTTTAAAGGTTAATGTGCTTGGGAAACAGTCTTTAAAATATATAACAGCAGTGTTACTTAGGGATAGGGATTTTGTCTTTCATTTATTATTTTAATCATACAATCCCCTTGTTAGAGTGGTAAGGAATGTTTTCTTTCATGGTACCTTTGAAATAATCATTTATGGTATGTAAATTCCTTGCCAGCAAATATAGTGTATTTCCTCCCATTGAAAACTTTCCTCCCATTGAAAACTGCTTTAAGGTTTTTTTTTCTGAACATTGTCCTGAACGTATCCACTCCATTGTCTTTTGCTGTTAAAGAGACTGTACTGAATTGTGTTGCTTATTTCTATCTTTAAGATAATTGACGATT
This sequence comes from Homo sapiens, assembly GCF_000001405.40. Classification (NCBI taxonomy): domain Eukaryota; kingdom Metazoa; phylum Chordata; class Mammalia; order Primates; family Hominidae; genus Homo; species Homo sapiens. The sequence continues at coordinate 42,409,803 of NC_000012.12, forward strand.
ATTTATCTATTATGTGTCTGTTTTCATTAGTTTCATTGTCTTCTATTGGGGGTCTCAATTATAATTCTTGCCCCAGAGTTCTGACAGTTTTATATTGTTCTCCAGTTTTATATTATATCTCTGACAGCTTTATATTGTTCTTCAGAAGTTTCAGATCATATGAAGTCCTAATTTTATATTGTTCTCCAGAAGTTTCAGATCATATGAAGTCCTAATGATAATAAACATTTTTTAAATCTAGAGGGTTTAAATAGTACTCATTGTAAATCTCTAATTATCTGCTTTAGAAATTCTTTGTAGCTTTGGAAAAGCTTAAAGAAACACTTAGGATTCTGTCAGTAGAGGCTTTCTTACATACAAATATGTTTTCATTCCATGTTTTTTTTTTTGCAGTACATTCTCTATTGTGATTGTCAAAACTGTAAGGACCCCATGTAAAGCAAAAGAGTAAATAATGTTAAATTGACTTTTTACTTGAATCTGGCATTAAGGGAGGGTAGTTTGAAGCATGTCTGATTTTTTTAAACTTTGTTTTATTTATACTAAAAATATATTCTTATTCACTGAATTCATCAGTTGCATAGTCAACTGTGTACAACCAGAAGTTTAATATCTTTTCTTCCTACCAATAGCTGGCATGTGTTCAGATAAGATACTGCCTACCTTATTAACAGGCTGAAAGGAAAATTACCTAGTTAATCATCTTTGCATCATTTGGAATTCCTTGCATATCGTAGACTTGCTGTAAATGTTTGTTTAGCAGTTATGAATGGTACTGGAAAGGGTGCTTCAGTCTCATGTAGTTTGGCTCTGTCATTTGCTAATTCCAGCTAATGAAGATAAATATTACAGTGAGTCTTCAAGAACCTTTGCTTTTAAGCAGTTAGAAAGTAAAAGAAGCAGCAAAACTGTTTCATTCATTTGGATGCAAAAACACAGCCAGCCAGGCTGTAATGGTTTTCAAAACACACAAGATTGAGAGGATTTCTCATAAAGTTAGTACATATGACTAAAATATTTATTGAGATTTATGTAAATTATGTATTCTCATTAGATCTTTACAACAACCTGAATTGGGAAAGAAAGAAATTATTTTTATTTTAAAATGCATTTACTTTTGATATGCAGTTTCACCATAATGTATCTAGGTATGGATTGTTTTTGAAATTTATTCTGTTTAAGGTGATTTATGTTAAATTACGCCTTCTCTATCTGAGAGTTTATATTTTTCATTAGAGCTGGAAAATTATAGTGTTATCTCTTTGAATATTTAATATCCTCTATTTTCTCCTATTTTTATGTCCTCCAGTTGAAATTAGGTCGATTTTTTTTTATCCTTTCATTTTCCTTACACTTTTTTGTTTCTTTCATATCTTGTGAAAGACTATCTCTAAGTCTTTAATTGTATTTAATTTGCCATGTAATTGATCCATTGAGTATATAATATATATATATTTATTTCAATAGCTTTTAGAGTACAAGTGGCTTTTAGTTATTTGGATGAATTGTATAGCCACACTTGTGGCTGACTGCCGCAGTTACTACTTGAGATGGTCACTACAGCAGTTACTACTGTTACTACTTGAGACTGTCATTACAGCAGTTACTACTGTTACTGCTTGAGACCGTCATTACAGCAGTCACTTCTGTTACTTCCTGAGACCATCGTTACGAGACTGAACGAAGGGACGAACATAGAAATGATAACAAAAAACAAAAGAAACTGTTTTAAGGAAAGGCAACATGGGGAGAAGAAGTCTGAGATTTTATTGCATCCATCACCAAGCAGTGTATATTGTATTCAATAAATAGGTTTTTTAGGCTGGGCGCGGTGGCTCATGCCTGTAATCCCAGCACTTTGGGAGGCCGAGGCGGGTGGATCACCTGAGGTCAGGAGTTCAAGACCAGCCTGGCCAACATGGTGAAACCCTGTCTCTACTAAAAAGACAAAAATTAGCTGGGTATGGTGGTGCATGCCTGTAGTCTCAGCCACTCGGGAGGCTGAGGCACGAGAATCGCTGGCACCCAGAGGTGGAGGTTGCAGTGTGTGGAGATCGTGCCCTTGTACTCCAGCCTGGGGGATAGAGTGAGACTCAGTCTCAAAAAAAAAAAAAAAAAAAAGGGCTGGGCGCGGTATCTCACGCCTGTAATCCCAGCACTTTGGGAGGCCGAGGCAGGCGGATCACGAGGTCAGGAGTTCGAGACTACCCTGGCCAATATGGTGAAACCCCGTCTCTACTAAAAATACAAAAATTAGCTGGGCGTGGTGGCACGCATCTATAGTCCCAGCTACTCGAGAGGCTGAGGCAGAAGAATTGCTTGAACCCAGGAGGCGGAGGTTGCAGTGAGCCAAGATCACGCCACTGCACTCCAGCCTGGGCGACAGAGCGAGACTCTTGTCTCAAAAAATAAAAAAAGAAGTAGTTTTTTATCCCTCACCCACTCCACCCTCCTGCTTGTGAGTCTCCATAGTCCATTATACCACTCTGTCTGCCTTCGCATACTCAATAGCTTAGCTCTCACTTGTGAGAACATATGGTATTTGGTTTCAGTTTCCTGAGTTACTTCACTTAGAGTATTGGCTTCCAGCTCTATCAGAATTGCTCCAAAAGATATTATTTCATTTTTTTTTTTTACAGCTGAATAGTATTCCGTGGTGTATATATACCATATTGTTTCATTGGTTGATGGACACTTAGGTTGGTTCTATATCTTTGCAATTGTGAATTGTGCTACAATAAACGTATACATGCAGGTGTCTTTTTAATTTTTTTTCCTTCCGTATTGTATAAACACATGTCTTTTTGATATAATGACTCCTTTTCCTTTGGATAGATATACAGTAGTAGGATTGCTGGATTGGATGGTAGATCTACTTTTAATTCTTTAAATCTCCATACTGTTTTCCACAGAGGTTGTAGTAATTTACATTCCCACCAGCTGAGTAAAAGTATTCCCTTTTCACTGCATCCACACCAACATTATTGTTTTTTGACTTTTTAATAATTGCCCTCCTGGCTAGGGTAATGTGGTATCTCGTTGTTTTAATTTGCATTTCTCTGATGATTAGTTATGTTGAACATTTTTTCGTATGTTTGTTGGTCATTTGTGTATCTTCTTTTGAGAATTGTCTATTCATGTCATTTGCCCACCTTTTGAGGAGATGATTATTATTTTTTCTTGCTGATTTGAGTTCCTCGTAGATTCTAGATATTAGTCCTTTGTCAGATGCATAGTTTGCAAATATTTTCTCCCTTTCTGTGAGTTGTTTCCTCTGCTGATTATTTCTTTTGCTGTACAGAAGCTTTTTCATTTAATTAGGTCCTATTTATTTTTGTTTCTGTTGCATTTGCTTCTGGGGTCTTAGTCATAAATTCTTTGCTTAGGCCAATGTCCAGAAGAGTTTTTCCCAGGTTATCTTCTAGAATTTTTATGGTTTCAGATGTTAGATTTAAGTCTTTGTTCCATCTTGAGTTGTTGATTTTTGTATAAAGGTGAGAGATAGAGATCCGGTTTCATTCTTCTATATGTGGCTATCCAGTTTTTCCAGCACCATTTATGCATAGGGTGTCCTTTCCTGAATTTATGTTTTTGTATGCTTTGTTGAAGAACAGTTAATTGTAAGTATTTGGCGTTATTTCTGGGTTCTCTATTCTGTTCCATTGGTCTATGTGCCTTATTTTATACCAGTACCATGCTGTTTTGATAACTATATATATGTATATGTGTGTGTGTGTGTGTGTGTGTGTGTGTGTGTGTGTGTGTGTGTATTCTTTTGAGATGGAGTGTCACTCTCTTGCCCGGGCTGGAGTGCAGTGGCGCCATCTCGGCTCACTGCAACCTCCACCTCCTGGGTTTAAGTGATTCTCCTGTCTCAGCTTCTGGAGTAGCTCGGATTACAGGCACCTGCCACCACACCCAGCTAATTTTTGTATTTTTAATAGAGACGAGGTTTCAGCCATGTTGTCCAGGCTGGCCTCAAACTTCTGACCACAAGTGATCCGCCCACCTCAGCCTCCCAAAGTGCTGGGATTACAGGTGTGAGCCACTGTGCCCAGCCGATAACTGTAGTTTTGTAATATAATTTGAAGCCAGGTAATGTGATGCCTCCAGATTTGTTTTTGGCTTAGGATTGCTTTGGCTATTTGGGGTCTTTTTTGGTTCCATATGAATTTTAGGATTGTTTTTTCTAATTCTGTGAAAAATGATGTTGGTGTTTTATTTTATTATTATTTTATTTATTTATTTTTTGAGACAGTGTTTCACTCTTGTTGCTCAGGCTGGAGTTCAATGGCACCATCTCGGCTCACTGCAATCTCCGCCTCCCTGGGTCAAGCGATTCTCCTGCCTGTCTCCCGAGTAGCTGGGATTACAGGCACCTGCCACCATGCCCGGCTTATTTTTGTATTTTTAGTAGAGAGGGGGTTTCACCACGTTGGCCAGGCTGGTCCGGAACTCCTGACCTCAGGTGATCCACCAGCCTCGGCCTCCCAAAGTGCTGGGATTACAGGTGTGAGCCACCGCGGCCGGCGATGTTGGTATTTTAATAGGAATTGCATTGAATCTGTAGATTGCTTTTGGCAGTATGGTCCTTTTCATTATATTGATTCTTCCAATCCATGAGCATGGGATATGTTTCTTTTTCAGCAGCTTCTTGTAATTCTCCTTGTAGAAATCTTTCATCACTCTGGTTAAGGATATTCCTAGGTATTTTATTTTATTTTATTTTTTTGCAGCTATTGTAAAAGGATTGAGTTCTTGATTTGATTCTCAGCTTGGTCGTTGTTGGTGTATAGCAGTGCTACTGATTCATATACACTGATTTTGTAACCTGAGACTTTACTGAATTCGTTTCTCAAATCTGGGAGTCTTTTGGAGGAGTCTTCAACGTTTTCTAGGTATATAGTCATCGTTGACGAACAGCAATAGTTTGACTTACTCATTTTCAGTTTGAATGCCCTTTATTTCTTTCGCTTGCCTGATTGTTCTGGCTAGGCCTACTCCATTGAATTCTTAACGTTAGTTATATTCTTCATTTCTAGAAGTTCAATTTGGTTTTCTTTGCAAATTTACCTAGAATTAGATTGTTTATCGCTCATGTTATTCTCTCTTATGTATTTAAACGTTTTATAATCTGTAACTGATAATTTTAATATTAAGGTGTCAGGGTTTTAATTCAGCTGTTGTCTCTGCTGACTCTTACTCGTGGTAGCAGGTTCCCTTGCATGTATTATATTTTGCGGTTGTGAGCTTATATTCAGAATTTTAAGTATGTGTGAACGTGGACCTATGCTTACAAATACTCAAGGGCGACTGCATGTCTTTACTTAAGACCACAGGCCAAAATCTGTCATTTTTATTTTTGTTTTTATTTATTTGTATTTTTTGAGACGTAGTCTTGCTCTGTCGCCCAGGCTGGAGTGCAGTGGCGTAATCTCAGCTCACTGCAACCTCTGCCTCCCGGGTTCAAGCAATTCTTCTGCCTCAGCCTCCCGAGTAGCTGGGATTACAGGCGCATGCCACCACACCCAGCTAATTTGTATGTTTTTAATAGAGGCAAGGTTTCACCATCTTGGCCAGGCTGGTCTTGGAACTCCTGACCTCATGATTCACCCGCCTCGGCCTCCCAAAGTGCTGCGATTACAGGCGTGAGCCACCGCCCCTAGCCAAAACCTGTCATTTTCTTTGACCAACAGGCAGTTTTTGTTTTCTCATTCATCTTTTCACAGAGATCCTAGCTTTATGTAGACCCCTCAGATCCAACTCACTCTTACATGAGCTCGAGGTAATGTCTGTCATCCCTACCAGGCTCTGATTCGTGGCTCTTTGGGGCAGCCATGGCTTCACCACTGTATTAGCGTATCACTCTGATTTTTTGCTTTCTCTTCATCAACAGCTCCTGACAGTTTAAAAGAATGTGTTTCCAAAGTTTTTGACTTTTAAAAGAATGTGTTTCTAAATTTTTTGAGGCAGAAGAATTTTCTGAGAAATGTAGTGTGTTGTTTGGTCCTATCTTCATTTTACATGTTTAAAAAGCTCAAGTGACTTGTTCAAGTTTATGCTAGAAGTGGTAGAACTGTGACCACTTCTTATTTATTGCTTTCTAATATGCTTATTTGCCTTAAACTGAGATTTAAAAATTAGTTCCAGTTAGAACCAAAGAAGGCCTTTCTGTGGAAGTGACATTTGATCAGACTCTTAAAATTCAGGTAGGATTCTCATAGGTAGAGATAGGAGGTAAAAGGTTCTACATAAAGGTGAATGACGTGCATGCAAGTAGGAAAATAGGGAACTATAGGGAATAATCAACAATTATCAGTCGTTTAGTGTGGGTAAAATCATCTTACATGTGTATTTTTAAAATCTCGCCTCCTGTACAAATCTCGCCTCCTGTACCCTTCATTCTCCCATTCTACTTCCCAGTCACAGCATTTATTGCATTGAATTCACAGAGTATGAATTTTTATTTACTGTGGTAAATTAGAAGGAGCTTGAATAGTCTTGAATAATGATCACAGAAACTTTGTCTTGACTTGGTAGAAATTGGAAGGAAGTGTTCTGTTTCAACCCCAACAGGTGTAGTGCAATTCAATTCTGGCATTAACCACCTGGAATCAGTGCATACACACAATTAAAGGGCACAGTGTCCAACAATACTGCCCTTACTTCAGACTTCAGCCTCACTTTGAGAATCCCCAGATCACCTGCACTTCTGTCAATTGGCTACAAATCCAGGGTTTTCCATGACCCTGTAAGATTCAAGAATATGCTAGAACAACTCACGGAATTCAGGAGAGTGTTATACTTATGAATACAGTTTTATTATAAAGGGTGCAAATCAGGAAGGAAGTGTTCTGTTTCAACCTTAACTGGTCTACTGCAACTCAATTCTGGCACTAACCACTCAGAGTTAGTACAGACCCTACAAGTTAAAAGGCACTGTCTTCAAATAATGACTGAGAAATTAAGGTAGTATGGAAAAGGATGGGATTATATAGATTGTATTTTACTGAAATTTGTAGATTTATATTTTACTGAATTTTGAAGGTAGAATAAAGATAATAGATAGCAATGCAGTATCATTTTATGAGATAGGTGGATCAGAGCCAGATGGTTGAAAAATTTGAAAGCCAGAAAAAAAGTGTTTGAATTCTATGATGGGCTTGTGGATGAATTTTGAATACATGAGTATTATGATTAAGATGTTTGTTGGAGGATTAGATTGGCTATACAGAAATGTTTGGCTACTTTTTGAGGGAGGGATAATGAGAGCCTAAGTTAAATTGGTAGAGTCTGAAATGCAGAAGAATAAGTGCATGAGAGTTTGTGGCAGGCAAGTAAGTAAAACTTAGCGACCGATTTGTCTGTTCATCTGTTTACTTTTGGGCACTTGTGAAAGAAGAAGGGTAGAATGAGAGACTGAAGAGGAAAAACAGAATAACTGATAAAGCAAGAGGGGCTATCAGTAGCACAGATATAGGAACTAATCTTGAAAATTCGGAGAAACACTTTTCTGAGATAGGAGGAAAGGAAAATAAAGGACAACATTTTTGAGGTGGATAGGAGATGAGTTTGGGAAAGAGGCAGTTTTGCTAAGAGTAGGGGGAAATGGGATAGGGAGGAGGGGGAGTCCTATCAGCAGTTGGATTTCCTGAATTGGGCGTGCAAAGGGCTTAGAATACCCCATATGTTACATGTTGGTATGGAAGTCAACAAGAGAGACTAAGGAGTTAATAGTGGATCAAATAATTGCAGTTTTGGACTTTTTCCAACAATTCACAGCCTCCTTTAAGTAAGCGTAGAAAGGCAAACCGGATTATTTATCCATAATTGACCAAGTAAAAACACTTCAAATGTTATTAAATAAAAGTTGCCCCCTGATAAGGTGGTGAAGATGATGATTTTATAGAAAAAAAAAATGACGCAAACTTAGTCTCTTTTACTTTTTAACTCAGTGTTTATTTGCCAAGAAGTTCGACCAGTTCTGAGTAACTAGATTATTGGGACATTTCAAAATTAAAAAGACAAGTGATAATAGTTAAACTTATATCCATAACTCAGCTGAACTATTGATCATAATGCTTCTAAAGAGGGAAAAAAGAAAAAAAAAAGCCCTAGTTTTTTTTTTTGTTTTTTTTTTGTTTTTTTTTTTTTTGAGACAGAGTCTCGCTCTGTCGCCCAGGCTGGAGTGCTGTGGCGTGGTCTCAGCTCACTGCAAGCTCCGCCTCCTGGGTTCACGCCATTCTCCTGCCTCAGCCTCCTACGTAGCTGGGACTACAGGCCCCTGCCACCAAGCCCAGCTAATTTTTTGTATTTTTAGTCGAGACAGGGTTTCACTGTGTTAGCCAGGATGGTCTCGATCTCATGACCTCGTGATCTGCCCCGCCTCGACCACTGCTCCCGGCCCTCTTTTTTTTTTTTTTTTTTTTTTTTTTAATCAACGCAGGAAATGGGGAACGTATTTAAAATTTCCCACCTAAAAGGAATGAACAATACTATTTTAAAACAAAGATGAGCACTGCAGAATATTTTGAAACTCAGCCTCCGTAACCAAATGGAGTATTGCAATAATTTTTTTTTCCTGACGTGTAAACGTGTTAAATGCAATGGCTTCCCTATTTGAAATCCTCCAGTGGTTTCCCATTATACTTAGAATAAAAATCCAAAGTCTTCACCATGGCTATAGAGACCTGCTAACACTGTATACTACCTCACCCTCCAAATTTCTTTCATGTTACCCTCATGGCTCACTGTTCTGCAGTCATAGTGGCCTCCTCTCTACTGGGCATGCATTTTCCCCTTCTTGAGAGCCTTTCTTGATTATGACTTCTACTAAGCATTCTCTCTCTGGCCTCTGCTAAATGTCACCCTTTCCCTAAAATTTTTCTTTATCTCCCTGACCAATCTAAGTAGTTCTCCATCATTGAACCTACTTTATTTCCTTTATAATAACTTATCACAATTATACATTTTTTTTGTTTTTATACATTTTAAAAATATCTTTCCAGCTAAAAAGAGAGTTTCCTGAGGATAGGCACTACATGTTTTTTTCACCACTTGTACTGAGCCTTCACTTAGTAACTCCTCAGATGTTTGTTGAATGAATTAATGCTTTCTAAGTATTAAGTGCTTTATTACATTCTCTCATTTAATCCTCACAAAAGGTAAGATATTATTATAATTCCCGCATTACAAATAAGGAAACTGTATCCCACAAATATATAAAATCATTATTTGTCAGTTAAAAATAAAATTTAAAATAAAAACAAAGAAATTGGGGCTTTGAGTAGGGTTACCTAGCACCCCAAACTTAGGGCTTCATGACCATAAAATCTTCATCCTTCTGCCACATTTCCCTGTCAGCTCATTAATAGTTTAAATTCTTTCATATGTGTGTTTTAAAGTAAGAGAGAATGACATTTTAAATGCTTAGAGCATGTTTTTCTTTTTTTTTCTTGAGATGGAGTCTCACTCTGTTGCCCAGGCTGGAGTGAAGTGGTGTGATCTCGGCTCACTGCAACCTCTGCCTCCCGGGTTCAAGTGATTCTCCTGCCTCAGCCTCCCGAATAACTGGGATTACAGGCACCCACCACCACACCTTTTATATTTTTAATAGAGACGGGGTTTCACCATGTTGGCTAAGCTGGTCTTGAACTCCTGACCTCAGGTGATCCGCCTGCCTCAGCTTCCCAGAGTGCTGGGATTACAGGCGTGAGCCACCACGCCTGGCCTTTATACTTTTCTATATAGTAGTTGCATCTATGGAAATTAAAAATTGAAGAGTAGGGTGGTTTTTAGTTTCACTTTTGAAGATTGAATTGTAATTAAGTTATATCTGTGTTGTTTAGTATGAATAAGAAGTTACTTGTGTTGGTCATTTTTGGCCTAAATAGAAAGAAAATAACTTATACCTGTGGTAATATTTTTACATTTTTTCCTTTCCATGTGGCATATTTGTGGATATGAGTGGCTAATTTCCCAAGATTATAACAAGTTGATTCTTATTGTACAAAGTAGTTGAATTTGAAACCTTCATGTGTAATTATATCTGTACATGATGACTTGAATGCTAAGAAAGCAATTTAACCTGATTTCTATATGGATAGTTGCGAGTGTGTTCAGTATGTGAGGAGAATGATTGTTGCTGCTTCTGCTGCTTCTAGCAGAAATATAGGATATCATAGTCAAAACTGACTTTTAAAGTTATATTTAGGTTGTTCCAATTTAATTAACATGACTTCTTTGCCATCAAAAAATAGAGTACAGAATGCAGCTGCTACACAATTGAGCTATATGGGGTAAATACTGGCTTGAATCACTGGAGAGGATTCAGTGTTTAGAGGAAAAATTTAGAGCTTTCCTGTCACACCTACACAATGGACTGAAAATTTTTCCTTTTGTTTTTACATATAATATGTTTACCTTTTAATTATTGCTTCATCTTAATAATATACTTCTTAAATAGTGTCATCTTGAATGGTACAACTCTTGGACTAGTTTTGTTTGAGAGTGTGTGTATACTTTTTTTTTTGAAAAAGACAATATAAATAGGTTTTTAGACATTTTGAAACTTGTCTCTTTGTGTGTGTGTGTTTGTCTCTTTTGGTGTTTATTGTTTTCTGGCAGAAATTGTATGACTGTGCAGTGAAGCAGGGTATCTCTAAATGATTTTTTTTTTTTTTCTGAGATGGAGTCTCACTTTCTTGCGCAGGCTAGGGAGTGCGGTGGCACCATCTCAGCTCACTGCAACCTCTGCTTCCCAGGTTCAAGTGATTCTCCTGCCTCAGACTCCTGAGTAGCTGAGATTACAAGTGTGTGCCACCACACCCAGCTACATATCCTTCCTTCCTTCCCTCCTTCCCTCCCGCCCTCCCCTCCCCTCCCCTCCCCTCCCCTCCCTCCCTCTCTCTCTCTCTCTCTCATTTTGCTAAGCCAACTGTCAGCAAGATTCTGTGTGTATTTTTCATATATGAATAATTGGTACTAAATACTGAGAAGTTTTATTTGTCAAAAACAAAACAGTGATAACATTAGATTAGCTTTCAGGATACTGTGTTTTAGGCTTTTCACTATTTTGAAATGACATTATAATGTCAACTGTCTTCCCTGGTTGATTTCAGAACTTGTTTGTTACAATTCACCTTCCATGTAATTCTAAATCTATTATGGTTTTAATTATAATCTTAACCAAGGAATAATTTTTATTGACCACCTCCTTTTGAACAGATTTATTCACTGATATCAGTTTGCATGTGGATCAGTTGGTTAGGATGATCAAAATGTCTAATTAAAATTTGAGCCAAAGCTAGAATATTTGATTTTATAGTTTTAGATAAATCAGAGATAATTAAAAATCAACTTTTTCTCAGCCTTACACTGGGAGGCTCTGAGGTAGTTAAAAAGGAAGCAAAAGAAGTGGTTCTGTCCTCAAGATAATGGAGGAGGTAGGAAGGACAGAAAAATACATACATTTCTTAAATATTTAGAGTAACCTGGAAAAATTGATCCAGAAAGACTCTGTGAAAACTATCTTTATTTTATTGATTGATTGATTGATTGATTGAGATGGAGTTTTGCTCTGTTGCCCAGGCTGGAGTACAGTGGTCCGTTCTTGCCTCACTGCAACCTCCTGCTTCCCAGGTTCAAGCGATTCTCCTGTCTCAGCCTCCCTAGTAGCTGGGATTACAGGCATGCACCACCATGCCTGGCTAATTTTTGTATTTTTAGTAGCGATGGGGTTTCACCGTGTTGTTCAGGCTGCTCTCGAACTCCTGACCTTAGGCGATCCACCCGCCTCAGCCTTCCAAAGTGCTGGGATTACAAGCATGAGCCATTACGCTGAGCTGTGACAAATATCTTAAACAAAATTTTGAAGAAATTAGAGAAGCAGCCAGGGAAATGCAGATGGCATATGAGAGAAGGTAAAATGCTTTAGAATGTATAGTAGATAGTATTTTAATGGGTGATGAGAAAGTTTTAGTAGCTAAGATTTTGTTGAATTTAAGTGGATCAGATCAGAAGCCAGAGGAGCAGTATACTGGGAAGGTTGGAGTTTTTTTTTTTGGTGTAGGATTTTTGTTATTTTGTTTTTATTTTAATTTTACTTTAAGGAAGATGGCACCTGTGAATAAGAAAGTTTAGAATAAAAATAGGCTAGAAGCAAAACTGCTAGAAAGAAAGCTGCTGTGCTGTGATGTAACAGTGCTGTATTGGTTAGGTCTGTGCTAGTGTTATGAGTGTAGAAATAGTAAGACCAGAAGTAAGAGTGCACAGGGTCAGATTTCAGCACTAATGGTACCTCTAAAGGCATGTAATCATCCCTTTTAAAAATACTACAATAATTTAGCAGTTAATTTTTACAAATGATTTAGTGTTTTTCAGAAAATAAGTCAAACCATAAATAATAATTTCTGGACTTTTAAATACTACAACACAAATAACACTAAACCCTCAGAGAGCAAAGCCACATTTTGATGTTTATGCTTTTTATTGTGATAGGACACTGAAAATGTGTATGAGGAGAAGAATGGTTTAATGCCTTTTTCCAGGATGTGTTTATATGAAAAATTTCTGTCTATGTTGTATCTACATGAGCACATGGTAATTTTCCATGAAGTAAGGTTAAAGGGGAAATGACAGCGTACTGTTTCTTTTGGCTCTTGTGCTAAGTTGGTCAGCCTTCTGACTCTTATCTGAACCAATCAAATGTTCAGCACTGCTAAAACAAAGATTTTTATTTCTGGCTTTCCCTGTTATTCTTTCCTAAAATTGACGAGTCATTCCAGTTTTAGTGATTTTACTAACCAAAAAAGTTACAATGTTGTAAACTAATAGTTCAAATTTAAAAAATCAATTTTAATAAACATGCTACGTACTGAAAATATGTATGGCAAGGTTCATTTGATTTTTAAGGATTTCAGTAGAATTTCTTAGTTATAACACTACCATTTTTGCCCTTGTAATTTCTAATAAATAGAAATACTGAGTTGTGTTCCTTAATACTGGCTTACCCCAAATTATTTGCAAACAAAACATTAATTTGACTGGATTCCTACCTCAAATCCTTGGCTGTAGGTAAATTCTATTTCAAAAAGACTTCTTGAAAACAAGATTGATATCTTCATTTACTAAAATTTAATAGCACTGTGCTTAGTAACTAACACCCGGTATTTACCTTGAGCATAAAGTGGAAGTAGCAATATGACTAGTTGATGTAATAATGACAGCATGGTTCTAACATTAGTATGTTCATTTTTGTGCACAGTATTATTCTAAGTATTTCTCTGATTCTTGGAAGGAACTTAATATCATTTGAGAAGTCAGTAGCAGTTTATATTTGTATTGCCAACTGGACAAATCAAGATTAATTTTAATTCATATACCAATTACTCTATGAATTTTGCTTATATGGACTAGAAAATATCTACAGACAGATCTTGAAAATATGGACTTCCATTTATATATAATAGTATTTATGGATTTTCCCCACTGTACATAATGCCTTCAGAGATAAAAGTAAAATAATGAATTATTTTAAATATTAATTAATTTTAGCCTACTTTTAATCTACCTGATACCACAGTTCCTATTTTTAAAATGAAACTGTGCTATTTATATTAGTTATGAGTAATACCTTTCTTCTGGAAAGAAAAAACGCATCTTGGAAGTATTCAGAGTGGTATTGTATGTTACCTAATTGAAAAGTCCGTCTCTGGGAGAAGTATGATTAAGTAGACTGATAATATTCTATTATCCTACATTTCTATATGATGAGCTGAAAGCAGATACATTATTCTTTTTTCCAGTAGAAGTAGCAATAGCTATATTTTCAAAGGAAACTTTAAGGATTAGTAATTGTTTAGCTTTTAACATGCAAATTTTTTTTTTTTTTCTGAGACTGAGTCTCACTCTGTTGCCCAGGTTGGAGTGCAGTGGCATGATCTCAACTCACTGCAACCTCTGCCTCCTGGTTCAAGTGATTCTGCTGCCTCAGCTTCCCAAGTTGCTGGGACTACAGGCATGAGCCACCACACCCAGCTAATTTTTACATTTTTAGTAGAGATAGGGTTTTACCATGTTGGCCAGGCTGGTCTCAAACTCCTGACCTCAGGTGATCTGCCCACCTCGGTGTCCCAAAGTGCTGGGATTATAGACGTGAGCCACTGCACCTGGCCGACCATGGAAAATTATAGCCTATCTTTAATTATGTTGAATAGAGGCTTGTGAAGCACCTTTGATGGGTTTTGCAATTACATTGATGAGAACATAGATCTATAACATCATGATGGCGTTTCTGCCAATGTTAAAGCACTGCTGATAGGCAGATAGGCTGCAGTGCAAGTATAATTGCACAGGCCTGCACTGCTCCCAGAAGGCCAGGTAACATCTATTCCATGAAGCAGGCTATCATGGTAGGTATCTGGAGAAAGTTTAAAAACATTATAAAACCCACTCAAACTACCTTCAGCAAGTAAAGGCAAAGTATTGAAAATTTGCAGGGTTTCTCATGTAACAGGACAGAAACCAAATTTAGAACCTGGAACTGGAAGACCACGAGGCAACTTATTTTCTTCCATAATTTCCCTTTCTTCCCTTGCCTCCTTTCCCCACCTTCCTGCCATCCCTGTTTCCTAGGTATTCCTTGGTAATGTCAACATCAAACCAGTTTTTTATAAGTTAGTGAACTCTAGGATTCATCTTTATTACTAAAACTCTTAAATCCTGTCTTCTACAAATACATATTTTTCAGTTGGCATATAATGTAAATACAGCTTCAGGGGCTGGCCTATCTTAGGAGGTTGAGGAGGGAGCAGCTAAACAGAAACTGCCTATTTACTGGAGCTGTAGGTAATCCTGACCACCCTGCACTAGCACTTTCTGATCCTGTTTACCTCCTAGCTACCCCCACTCGCTTCAGCCACAAAAAAAGAGATTATGGCATACATTTTGAAAGTCTCCCAGAAATACTGCATGAGCAAAGACTTATTTTTCTTGGGCTGAAAAGTCACGATACCTGGATACTATAAAAAAATGAAAGTTTTTCTAAGCATACAGAATATTTAAACTATTTACAAAATTGTTACAGAAAACAAAAAGAAAAAAAGCATAATAACACGTGTAGTAACATAATACAGTGTTAAGACATGGAGAAATTTCATAGTAACAAAAGTAACTTCTACTAAAATCAGCTTTCCAATATAGAATTTTTTCCTCAGGTTTTTATTTTTATTTTATTTTATGTATGTATGTATGTATGTATGTATGTATGTATGTATGTATGTACTTGTTTATTTTTGAGATAGAGTTTCGCTCTTGCTGCCCAGGCTGAAGTGCAGTGGCGCGATCTCGGCTCACTGCAACCTCCCCCTCCCAGTTCAAGCAATTCTCCCACCTCAGCCTCCCAAGTAGCTGGGATTACAGGTGTGCACCACCATGCCTGGCTAATTTTTTTTTTTTTTTTTTTGTATTTTTAGTAGAGACAGGGTTTCACCATGGCCAGGCTGGTCTTGAACTCCTGACCTCAGGTGATCTGCCTGCCTCGGCCTCCCAGAGTGCTGGGATTACAGGCGTGAGCCACTGCGCCCAGCCTATTTTATTTTATTGAGATGGAGTCTTGCTCTGTCGCCCAGGCTGGAGTGCAGTGGTGCTATCTCAGCCCACTGCAACCTCTGCCTCCCGGGTTCAAGCAGTTCTCCTCCCTCAGCCTCCTGAGTAGCTGGGATTACAGGCGCATGCCACCATGCTCAGTTAATTTTTGTGTTTTTTTAGTAGAGATGAGGTTTCACCATGTTGGCCAGGCTGGTCTCGAACTCCTGACCTTGTGATCCACCTGCCTCGGCCTCCCAGAGTGTTGGGATTACAGGCGTGAGCCACTGTGCCCAGCCTCCTCAGGTTTTTAAAATGACTTTTATTTTTAAAAAGTTAATATGTGCATCATGGGTAACAAAAAACACAGGAAGCAAGGGACAAAGTCATCCATAATTACAAGCAGTTTACAGTTTGATGTGTCCTTCTAGGTCCTGTGTGTGTATACACGATACAGGATTTTAATATTGAAAGAAATGGGATAGTAGAGTGAATGTGCCTGGTCCACTGGATCATCTGTCAAAAGAAACTAAGGAAGAACTTGCCGCCTCTGCAGGATAATTTGAAAATGTCCCATTTCAACCATAAAATGCTCTTTAACCAACCAAAGCATAAGTAGCTTACAGAATAATAATGCTTTTCCCAGCATGGGGCAGATGGCTGATCTGACCTATTTATTTCTATCTTAGTGGCATCCCTGAAGCTATATGGAAAAATAATCCACGTTTCAAATTTCACTAGAGGAATGACTTGAATAACTTAAAGTACAGTATTAGACTTGACACCACACACACACACACACACACACACACACACACACACACACACACACACACACACACCCTCATGCATTGTCTCATGGCAGTTAGGAATCATAATCAGATGACCTGCCTTCCAGACCCCTCCAAACCAGTTTCTTTACACTACTCTTCAAAACCAAGCAAGTTCATTTATCTTTGCTAAGGATTTAGTTCAGTCAGGGCTTCATTTCTATTTTGGATTTTAATAATTATCTTGAGTTTGTAGCAGCAGTATGATAAGGAGTGAATTTGAAATCTAGGCTATGAATGTTTATTGTATTTCTTACAGTTAACTCCTTTAATCTCTCTGCTTCACTATTTTTATAAAAAAAGGCCAATAACTCCAGAGTGCTTTTGAGGATTCTGGTACATAAAATAATACAAAGGTCTATATGAAAATGTTAAGTTAGTAACTTAATACTTCTAATTTGCCAGGAATTTTTAAATGTCATTATATTTGAATAAGCAAATAAAAAGACCTTTAGAATTGTAACCCACAGCCATCCTTAGACATGGAGACCTTTGCTAGGATTCCTCCCCATTCTCCAAAAATTGTTCTTAGGTGGTGAGGCCTCCCTGAATTGAGAACTCAACTCATTGGACCCAGTAACAGTTAAAACTTCTATGTTCTGAGACATAACTTCTGTATCTTCAGAAGATAATGCGACCTATATATTGAATTGTCTCTGACCTCTTTGGTGGTAGATGAGCTGGGAAGGAAGTGGAGGGGGTGGGTCTTGAAATAGCTAAGCTGCTTCCCGCTTAGTCATTCCTGCTGACAAATTTCTCTCCTGTTGGAGAGTAACTGGGTGGATCTCGCGCCGTGCAGGTTTCTCAAACCAATGTAAGACTTTTTTTCACTTCGAGAACTGGCTGTTGCCAGTTAATTACTTTCTTTTAGCCTTAGTCAGATCTAAAATGTGACCTTTTGTACAGTCAGGACATTGCACTTTTCTGATAATATTAAATTATTTCATGAAGACTGGACTACCTCATCTGTGAAATTGTAAAAAGATTTATTTGAAGTTATTGTGTTTAAAATTTTTCTTTGGATAATTCTCAAATATTTCTTTTGTAAGAAATAGCTGTATATAAAAATTAATTCAGTGTTTACATAAGAATTTTGCCTTTTTAAGCAAAAAGAAAAGTCTGGAGGCATCACATTACCTGATTTCAAACTATACTGTAAGGCCATAGTCACCAAAAACATCATGGTACTGGCATAAAAACAAGCACATAGATCAATGGAACAGAATAGAGAACCCAGAAATTAACCCAAATACTTACAGCCAACTGATCTTCGACAAAGCAAACAAAAACATAAAGTGGGGAAAGGACACCCTATTCAACAAATGGTGCTGCCAATGTAGGAGAATGAAACTGGATCCTCATCTCCCACCTTATACAAAAATCAACTCAAGATGGATTAAGGACTTACTTACATCTACGACCTGAAACTATAAAAATTGTAGAAGACAACTTAGGAAAAACCCTTCTAGACATTGGCTTAGGCAAGGATTTCATGACCAAGAACCCAAAAGCAAATGCAATAAAGACAAAGATAAATAGCTGAGACTTAATTAAACTAAAGAGCTTTTACACAGCAAAAGGAACAGTCAGCAAAGTGAACAGACAACCCACAGAGTGGGAGAAGATCTTTACAATCTGTACATCTGACAAAGGACTAATACCCAGAATCTATAACGAACTCAATCAAATCAGCAAGAAAAAAAACAATCACATCAAAAAGTGGGCTAAGGACATGAATAGACAATTCTAAAAAGAAGACATACAAATGGCCAAAAAATATATGAAAAAATGCTCAACATCACTAATGATCAGAGAAATGCAAATCAAAACCACAATGCAGTACCACCTTACTCCTGCAAGAATGGCCGTAATCAAAAAAATCAAAAAACAGTAGATGTTTGGCATGGATGTGGTGAAGAGGGAACACTTCTACACTGCAGGTGGGAATGTAAACTAGTACAGCCATTATGGAAAACGGTGTGGAGATTCCTTAAAGAACTAAAAGTAGAACTACCATTTGATCCAGCAATCCCACTACTGGGTATCTACCCAGAGGAAAAGAAGTCATTATATGAAAAAGATACTTGTACACATATATTTATAGCAGCACAACTTGCAACTGTGAAATCATGGGACCAACCCAAATGTCCATCAGTCAACGAGTGGATAAAGAAACTGTGGTATGTATATATACAATAGATTACTACTTAGCCATAAAAAGGAACAAATTAGTGGCATTTGGAATGAGCGGGGTGAGATTGGAGACTGTTATTCTAAGTGAAGTCACTAACTCAGGAATGGAAATCCAAACATCGTATGTTCTCACTCATATGTGGGAGCTAAGCTATGTGGGGTGCAAAGGCATAAGAAAGACACAGTGGACTTTGGAGACTCAGGGGAAAAGAGTGGGAGGGGGGTGAGGGATAAAAAAGACCACATATTGGGTGCAGTGTATACTGCCTGCTCAGGTGATGAGTACACCAAAATCTCACAGATCACCACCATAGAACTTACTCATGTAACCAAACATCACCTGTTCCCCAATAACCAATGGAAAGTTTTAATACTTAATTAAAAAAAATGAAGTTTGCCTTTTTAACTTCTTTTTTTTTTTTTTTTTAACTTAAGGGACTTTCTAAGTGACAGATATCGTTTAGGGAGCTGAATTGCCATCTTAAACTGTGATCTGTTTCATTATGATGGATGTTTTGGACATGACTTGGGAAATGTGCAAATTAAGCCTACTCCTCCTTGCTTTTATTAAATAATTTTTATTATTCTCAGACACGACAATATCAAAAGCCAAATGAAATTTTATCATATTGCACAATATTTGTACCCATTTTCTCAGCATTTAGAACTTTAAAGCCTATTTTATTATGTATTTAATTGCCTTTCATCCTGTGTTCATTATGAATATTTTTCTTTAGATTTAGCCTTTTTATATGTTTTGCATCTTAGAAATTCTTTTCCCAAGCCAGTAATTGACATTGAATACAAAATTACTTTTCTCAAAATTCACTGAGCAATGAATACATTGGTTTTTTTCCTAATCAACAGTCTTTAGTTGTTTGTTTATTGCCTTTTGAATGAGAGAAAAAATGTCTACAGTGTTTCTACCATAAGTTATTTTAAGTCTAAGAATTTGGTCTTTGCCTTACCTGCTCATGTCTAGCTCCATTTTGATTGCAGTCTACTATCTTTCCCAAAACTTCCCTATATTCCAAGATTCATTACTGTTTAAACACTCTATGCTTTTTTGCTTCCAAGGTGCTTAGAACAGTTCACGCTGTCTTAGTGCTCCCTGCAACTCCCATGATCTTTTATTTGGAATAATTACAACACTTTATATTTATTTTATGGCATTTACCATATTCTGCCTTGTTGTTTGGTTATTTTTAATGTGTTGGTCTTTTTACTAGAATGTAAAGTCCTTGAACAGAGCTTGTTGTACTCTGACCAATTCCAGTGCTTTAACATAGAAGGTGAGCTCTAGCTGTGTGGCAGGCACATTTATCTGTCATTCACACTCATGTCAGCATTTGCAGATTCATTAATATCTAACCCATATCGAGAAGATGCAAAGCTCATCCTCCAGGGTCAAAGCAGAACAGATCCATCTTCATTTTATTTTGAAAATTTTTGTATACCCATCACCTGGATTCTATAATTAAGCTTTTGCTCTATTTGTTTTGTCACTTATCTTTCCATTTCTGGATGTAATAAGAAATATATATTTGGCTTCTGCCCCCATTTCTTGGCACACAGCTTGGAATCTTAAAGTGATGTGTCTTTTTGTATGTGAATGAGGTAACCAATGGCCGGGGGAGCTCCTGGATAGCCTCTGTTTAGGGGCTGATTGCCCAGGGAAACCAACCATGTGTTTAGAGAGTTGGAACTTTCAGCCTACCCCCTTGACCTCTAAAAGGGGTGGAGAGGGACTGAAGGTTGAGCCGCTCACCAAAGGCCAATGATCTAATCAACTGTGTTTTTGTGATGGGTCTTCGATTTTAGCTGCTCTTCTCTCTCTGTCTCTGACACAGACACACACCCCTACAGTCACACACACACACACACACCCTTACAGTTGATACTTGAACAACTCAGGGATTTGTGATGCTGTCCCCCCGCCACCCTTAACATTTGAAAATTCAAATGTAACTTTTGACTGTCCCAAAACTTGACTACAGATAGTCTGCTGTTGACCTATCAATAACATAGTCAGTTAACACATATTTTGTATGCTATACATATTACATATACTATATTCTTTTTTTGGTTTTGTTTTGTTTTGTTTTTTTGAGACGGAGTACCCAGGCTGGCGTGTAGAGTGCTATGGTGTGATCTTGGCTCACTGCAACCTCCGCCTTCCCGGTTCAAGCAATTCTGCCCCAGCCTCCCAAATAGCTGGGATTACAGGCACCCACCACCACGCCCAGCTAAATTTTGTATTTTTAGTCGAGACGGGGTTTCACCATGTTGGCCAGTCTGGTCTCAAACTCCTGACCTCAGGTGATCTACCCACCTCAGCCTCCCAAAGTGCTGGGATTATGAGCGTGAGCCACCGTGCCTGGCCAATACACTGTGTTATCTCTTTTTTTTGGAAGATCAATGTTTATTTACTATCTGCATACAAAAACATATTGCACATCAAACAACTGAAATTAAACAAAACAAGATAAAAAAGATACTCTACTGAAGACTAACATGTAGTTTATATAGAATAAGCCTTCTGGAAATTAGTATTTTCAGTAGTTCCAGTTATGTCTGAATGGACATGACTAATTCAGCTTAGTGTTTTAACTAAAGCTATGTTTTATTTTTAAATACTGTACACTTTAATAAATAAACCAAACAAACCCTCAAGGTGGAACAGTCACTGCCAAATATCACCCAGTGTCCCTGCAGATGAGAGTTTAATAAATGTATTCCAGTGGTCTGCAGATTTTTCTCTATAAAGCATTTAAAAAACATATTAAAACAGACCAGTTTCCAAACTAAACTAATGGAGAAATTACAGTTCAGTGCAAAATATTTTAGACTGCATTTTATTCTAGTTTTCCTCAGATGAAGAAGTGGTTGCATATTAAAAATGTAACAAAAGCAGCCAGTGCTTTCATAAAGAATATTATGTTAGGGATCCCACCTCACCCACCACCCCCCATCTGCCATATTTTGAAAAGAAAATAACATTTCTTATAGCCAGCAACTTTTTTTTAATGTTACATATACTATTCTCAAGGAACATCTGATGATTTATAACCCAGTAGGTGTCAAAGTATGTTTAACATATGATTTATTCAGGATCCCTCCCCTTTTTGAATTCCAAATGGTAGAACTGAAAGTGCGATGCAAAGACTGGCGATCCATATTCTATCTTTGGCAAGCTTGTACAAGCACTGTTGTAAATGTAATGTAAAAGAACTGTAAACTAGGAACTTCTTCAGTTTATGAAACACCATTCAGGACTGCTACTTCTTGACTGTTTTCTTCTTTTAAGGTATTAATCTTTTCTTCTCCTGGAGTATGCTGTAGCTTAGAAATGTCATTGCCAGAAGCACTAGTCGGGCTATTTATTGCCTTTTCTGAAGGACCATGCTCTTCAATCACATATTTTGCCTAGCCCATTTTCAATAACTGAAGCTGTATCAGATTCAGTCATTCCATCCATCAGAACAGCATCTTCATCAGTCCTTCGTCTACGAGACCTCGTATGACGATTAGTACTGTGATGAGATTTGCTGGCATCAGTGTCTGCAGTCTGATCTGATTCTGATTATCAAGTACGCTGTATGGATTGCTGTCTGGATCTTTGGGCACAGAACTGATGGAGGATTTGCCACCACGTGGTCCACCACGACCTCGACCCCCTGAAACACTTCTGCATCTTCCTCCTGGGCATCTCCTGCTGTCACGCTGATGTCGGCTGTCTCGATCATCTTCTTCAATGACCAATCACTCAGCTTGTCTTTACCCTCAGATTCTATTTCAGAGGGGTTAGACAGCTTAGAATTTGTACCATAACTGGAGGTGTAATTAGGGCCCTGACAACCTCTGCCTCTTCCACTATGAGACCTAGAACCAATCTGTTATGGCTGCTCATTAATCTGTAGGCATTCCATTCTTAGCTGTTCTACTTCCTTTAGATAAGCAATATGGTACTCTAAAAGAACTTGCACATTTCCAATGGTTTCTTTAGTGCCAACAAATACAAATGGAATCATACTGTCTTCTCTGGGTAGTTTATTTTCACTGTCCCCTTCAATTCTCACCGGAACCATATCAGATTTGTCCACTATTTCTTGAATAACTTTGCCATTTTTTCCAATTACTTTTCCAGTGAGATTCTTAGAAACCTGAATAAAATCCTCCACAAATTCCAAGAAACCTCTAGCCTTTTTTACAGCACCAGCACTCTCTATAGATTCTAAATGTTCCAGTGTCTTCATCTAGCTCAATGCGGTAACTCCAGGAACCTTCCTAGCTTGCTGAATGTTACTACCATGTGTTCCTATTGCCACACCCATTAAATTTTCTCTCACAACAAATTCCTCAGGAAAAGCTGCTGCAAGTTGTTTTGTGCATTCTGAATGCTTAGTGATCTCTTCATTTCTGGTCATAAGCATCAGCTTCATACAAATACTTCACAAACGCATGTCACTCAAGATGTTTACTTTCTTCACAGTTGCTTCACTGGCAGACAGTGTCATTAGCTGTGTTGTTTCTGGATGGTAAAAAATTCTGCATGCTCCTACTGCTTTCTTAAAATCTTTATGTGCATTTTCATTAGCACACGCCTCTCTCATATCCTCAGGAAAATCCACTGTGCATTTAAAGACGGTATTTTTTTTTGACAGTTTTATTTTTATTGACAGGCCAAAGTTGTTCAAATGTGACTATTTCATTGTAAGTAGCGTCACAAGCAGTATATTCAATGACATAAAATTCTCCTTTCATCATCCAAACTTTAGCCACCCACCATCCACATGGCTCTTGGTCATTTGCTCTTGAATATACCTCTACTTCATCTCCTTCACTAATTTATTTTTTTATATCAGATGGTGGAGGTAATCTAACCTCATTAAATGGAACCTGGCATTCTGGTTGCCAATTATTTTCAAAAGCAACTGTAAGGGAGTTGCTTACTTAAGGGAGAATGCAGTGGTGCGTTCTCTGCTCACTGCAAGTTCTGCCTCCCGGGTTCATGCCATTCTCCTGCCTCAGTCTCCCGGGTAGCTGGGACTACAGGTGCCCACCACCATGCCTGGCTAATTTTTTCTATTTTTTAGTAGAGACGGGGTTTCACTGTGTTAGCCAGGATGGTCTCGATCTCCTGACCTCGTGATCCACCTGCCTCAGCCTCCCAATTGCTGGGATTACAGGCGTGAGCCACCGCACCCGGCCCACACTGTATTCTTAAAGTAAGCTAGAGGAAATAAAATGTTATTAAGAAAATAATAAGACAGCATATATTTACTATTCATTAAGTGGAAGTGGATTATCATAGAGATCTTCATCCTCCTTGTCTTCACATTGAATAAGCTGAGGAAAGATAAGTTGGTCTTGCCATCTTAGGGGTGGCAGAGGTAGAAGAAAATCCACATATAAGTGCACCCACTCAATCCAAACCTGTATTGTTCAAGGACCAACTGTGTGAGATGATAGATATTACTATCTATATGTATCCCATAACATGTTGTAAACCTTAAATACACACAATAAAATTTATTTTAAAAAAACATAACACCACCAAAAGTTCAGGGTTTGGAGAGCTTCTGGGTTGCTGAACAGGTAGAGCTGCTACAAAGGTGGTATACTCAGAGTGGGCACAACAGCTCCATACCTGTTCCCCCATACCTTGCCCTACATATCTCTTCTATCTGGCTGTTCCTGAGTTGTATCCTTTTATAATAAACAGTATTTGTGGAGCTGGAGACCATTTTCCTTAGCAAACTAACATAGGAACACAAAACCAAATACCACATGTTCTCATTTGTAAGTGGGATCAGAATGATGAGAATACATGGACACAAGCGGGGGAACAACACACACTGGGGCCTGTTGGAGGCTGGGGAATGAGGGAGGGAGAGTATCAGGAAGAATAGCTAATGGATGCTGGGCTTAATACCTAAGTGATGGGATGATCATAAAAGTTGGAAATAAAAATAAATAAATGGTATTTGTAAGTAAAGCACTTTCTGTGAGCTGCTCTTGCAAATGATTGAACCCAAGGAGGGGCTTGTAAGAACCCTCAGTTTATAGTTGCCTGGTCAGAAGTTTTGGAGGCCTGGGACCTGTGAATTGGTTTCTGTATTGGGGGTTAGTCTTGTGGGACTGAGTCCTTAGCCTATGGGATCTTAACCCAGTTGGTGTCTGCTGGGGAACTGATGTGTGGGCATGCCAGAAGTGAAGTGTTGAGTATTATGAGTGAGGGTACAGTAGGAGAGGAAATAAATTACTGTTTCTTTATGTTTTTGTTTTTGTTTTGTTTTTTGAGACGGAGTCTTGCTCTGTCTCCTGGGCTGGAGTGCAACGGCGCGATCTCAGCTCACTGCAACCTTGGTCTCCCGGGTTGAAGCAATTCTCCTGCCTCACCCTCCCCAGTAGCTGGGACTACAGGTGCATGCCACCATGGCTGGCTAATTTTTGTATTTTTAGTAGAGACAGGCATTCACCATGTTGGCCAGGCTGGTCTTGAACCCTGACCTCAGGCAATCTGCCCGCCCTGGCCTCCCAAAGTGCTGGGATTACAGGCGTGAGCCACCGCGCCCAGCCCTGTTTAGGTCTTACATTTAAATTTTGTGGAATCTGGTTTTGGCATTAACTATTCTGCAATGATTACATTATTTGGAATTATTTCTTTTTTATATGTGGAATTATTTCTTTTTGTCTAGTATATTATGATTGAAAAAACTAATAAGCTGAAAGGGATAAAAAAGTCATAATTAAGGATTAATCTTTGGTTGAATTCTATATATTTATAAATTGGTCTGTATTTGTGTATGAGAATTCTATAAACATTGATTGCTGAGGCTTTTTAGCATGTCCTTAATTTATAATTGGTTTTGCAGTTGCTTCCTTTTGTGGTTGTAATAATTTCACTCACATATTGAATGTAGGCACTATAGCTCTGATCCATGTGTTCATAATGCATTTCTTAGCAACCACCAGTGTTCTTTTTAGGAGCTGTGTTTTTAAGAGGCATTGGGGCTGCAGCTTTGAGGAGGACTCAAAAGATATCTTTTTCTATTAATACAGCACAAGCAGCAACATAGATTACAATAGTTTTGACACCTTCTGCATTACTATAGACCAAAATTAAAGGGTTTAAATTTATCTCCAGTATTTAATATCAATGTGTTATCGCTTTTTTCCTGGCCTCATCAACACATTAAACATTATGAATGGTTCCTTGTATATTACGCCCCAATTGGAGTTTCTTTTTTTTAACTTATTTTTATATACCTTTCATTAAAAGTTGTAGAACATTTTACAGATGCTAATTATATTTCACAATGCTCCTTTAAAAGTTGTAAGCTTTTATTTTCCACTTTAATGGTAAAATAGTTGCAAATATGTATTTAATTTACTAGATCACCACTTAACCATGACAACTTTCCCTTCTTTTTACTCCTCAGTCCTCCATGACAACTCTGCTAAATAGAATTGTCTGCAGTGATGAAAATGTTTTATATCCTCATGTCCAGTATGGCAGCCACTAGCGTTTGAAATAGAGCTAGTGTGACTGGGAAACAGAATTAATTCTATTTCACTAATTAAAAATAAAATATAGTCACATATGGCTAGTGGCTACTGTATTGGACAGCACAGCTCTCCAGTCTCCACCATCCCAACAAACTGCTATTGTGGTTTACCTGCTAATTGCCAAATCCAGTCAATATGTTTCTTTGATCTTTCTCTGGCATTTGATTGACTGTGTCCTTATTTTATAAACTCTTTCTTTGGCATCTGTGCCTTCACTGTCTCTTGATTCTTAATTTTTCTGCGGATGATATCGATGGTTTTAGATGTCTGCACTTGGCTCTTACATTGTCTTAAAGCACACTTTAGCTATTCATTCAACATTTACTGGGTATCAGTTTTGTGGTGCTAGGAAGAACTTACTCCCTCCTTCAGGAAATTCCCCTGGCCTCAGCTGGCATTACTGCTAAAGATTATAAAATCAATCTCTTCCTCACTTGCGTTTATTTCTTCAGAAGTCCAGACTCATGTACTTAACTTCCTATTGATAGTTGGTTCTGGTTGTCTCATGAGTGCCTCAAGTGACTACTTAGTACTGAACTTATCTCCACTCCTATATAAAAGCAAAAAACCTTCCACCTATTACTCTTCACATTATCATACATCTACTGCTTCTTAATTATAATATCCCCCCCTTATCCTTAGGGGATATGTTCCAGGATCCTCAGTGGATCCCTGAAACTCAGATAGTACTGAACCCTGTGTATACTCTGTTTTACCAATCCGACAACTGAGAGGGCTACTAAGTGACTAACAGGTGGGTAGTATATAAAGATTGAATATGGGACAAAGGGAGGATTTATGTCTTGGGCAGGATGAAGCAGGATGGCACAAGATCTCATCATACTACTCAGAACAGCATGCAGTTTAAAACTTAAGGATTGTTTGTTTCTGGAGTTTTCCATTTAATATTTTTGGACTGCAGTTTACAGCAGGTAACTGAAATCTCAGATAAAGTGGGGACTGCTGTACTTGTAAAGCCTCTAATCTCATCTTTCTTTCACACATCTTGTCATATTTATTGTCCTGGCTCTCAGGAGCAGGAACCCAAAGCATAGATTCTTGCTCATTTTTCTCTTCCTGATACATCCAAAGGTTCCAATTTCTACTTGTAGCTCTTTCCCTCTTTGTTAATTTATCAGTTGATGTCTAAGCTCCTTGAAGGAGCTCTTCATGATCTCGTTTCAGGGTGAATATCCTATGCTCTAGGTGTGCTAAGCCAATAGTATTTCCCCCAAACACCGTTTCCTTTTCCTTTTCTTTGTTTTCCTAGAGAGAACTTATCAACTCTAACACCATTTTCTACTACTCCCTTCTATAGACAAAGTCAGAACAGTTGTTTCTCCTCTTTCCATCATCATCACTATAGCTGCCTTAGATTAAATGCTTCCTATGTGTCAGGCACTATTCTGAGTGTTCTGTATTATCTTATTTAATTCTTAAACAGCACAGTCAGCTGTAGGTACTGAAACTCGGGCACAAAAGTTAAGAAACCTTTTTTTCTTTTTTCACTTTTGTGTGATTATTTTTGGGAAAAAAATTTAATTTTATTTTTTGGAGCTGTTTTAGATTTATAGAAAACCTGCAAGAGCATAGAGAGTTCTTATATGCCCGTTCTCCCTACACAGTTTCCCCTATTATTAACATTTTGCATTACTGTGATACACTTGTTATGATTGATGAACCAATATTGATATATTAATATTAACTAAAGTCCATAGTTTACATTAGGATTCACTCTTTGTCTCCTACAGTTCTGTGAATTTTGACAAATGTATAATATATCATTCAGTATCCTACCATACAGTCCCATACAGCATAATTTCATCTGCCTAAGAAATGTCCTATGTTCCACCTGTTTGTCCCTTCCACTTTCCCCTGGCAACTTATGATCTCTTTAGTGTCTATGGGTTTTTGTTTTTGTTTTTTTAATAACCAGAATGTCATATAGTTGGTATCATAGTGTATAACCTTTTCAGACTGGCTTCTTTCACTTAAGATTCTTTCGTGTCATTTTGTGGCTTGATAGCTCATTTCTTTTGATGAAAAATATTCCATTGTATGAGTATACTGCAGTTTGTCCATTTATCCATTAAAGAACATCTTGGATGCTTCCAATTTTTGGCAGTTATAATAATGTTGATATAAAGATTTGTATGCAGGTTTTTGTGTAGACATAAGTTTTCAACTTATTTGGATAAATACTTAGCAGTGGGATTGCTGGATTGTATGGTAAGACTGGGTTTTGCTTTGTAAGAAACTGCTGGACTGTCTACCAAAGTGGTTGTACCATTTTATATTCCCACCAACAATGAAGGAGAGTTCTGTGGCTCTACATTTTTGACAGAAATTGGTGGTGTCAAATTTTTTTGTGGATTTTAAGCTGTGGATTTACATTTAAATCAAATTTAAATTTAAGTTGTGGATTTTAAGCATTCTAATAGATGTGTAGTGGTATCTCACTACTCATCATCGTTTTAATTTTCAGTTTCCTAATAACAAATGATGTTGAACAATTTTTCATATGTTCATTTGCCATCTGAATGTCTGCTTTGGTGAGGTGTCATTCAGTTTTTTGCCTGTTTTATAATTGGGTTGTTTCTTACTGTTTTTTTGTTTTTTGTTTTTGTTTTGTTTTTTGAGACAGAGTCTCACTCTGTAGCTCAGGCTGGAGTGCAGTGGCACGATCTCAGCTCACCGCAACCCCTGCCTCCCAGGTTCAGGTGATTCTCCTGCCTCAGTCTCCCGAGTAGCTGGGATTACAGGCATGCGTCACCACGCCCGGCTAATTTTTCATATTTTTAGTAGAGATGGGGGTTTCATCATATTGGTCAGGCTGGTCTCAAACTCCTGACCTCGTGATCCGCCTGCCTCAGCCTCCCAAAGTGCTGGGATTACAGGTATGAGCCACTGCGCCCGGCCCTCTTATTGTTGAGTTATAAGTTCTTTGCATATTTTAGATACTAGTTTATCACATACGTGTTTTGCAAAGATTTTCTCCGAGTCTGTAGCTTGTTTGTTCATGCCCTTAACAGTGTCTTTCACAAAGCACAGATTTTTAAATTTTAATGAAATCCAATTTATTGGGGTTTTTCTTGGATTGTCTTTGATGTTATATTTAAAAGTCGTCACCAAACTCAAGATCACCTAGATTTTTTCCTCTGTTATCTTCTGTAAATATTATAGTTTTGCATTTATATTTAGGTCTGCGATCCATTTTGAGTTAACATATTTTTGAAAGGTATAAGATCTGTGTCTAGATTATTTATTTTGCATGTAGATAGATAACCAGTTGTTCAAGTACTGCTCAACTTGTTGAAGTTCAATGAAGTCTTGAACGTAACTGTCAAGTTGAAGACTATCTTTTCTCCATTGAATTACTTCTGTGCTCTGTTTTAAAAGATCAGTTCACTGTATTTGTATGGGTCTGTATCTGGACTGTCCTGTCCTTGATCTTTCTGTCTGTTCTTCTGCCAATGGCATACAATCTTGATTACTGTAGCTTTAAAGTAAGGTGTGTTGTTTTTTGTTTGTTTTCTTGTTTGTTTGTTTTGAGACAAGGTCTCGCTCTGTCACCCAGACTGGAGTGCAGTGGCACGATCTCGGCTCACTGCGACGTCTGCCTCCCAGGTTCAGCTATTCTCCTGCCTCCGCCTCCTGAGTAGCTGGGACTACAGACAGTGCCATCATGCCCAGCTAATTTTTGTATTTTTAGTAGAGACAGCGTTTCACTAACACTGTCTGTTTGTTGGCCAGGCTGGTCTCAAACTCCTGACCTAAGGTGATCTGCCTGCCTCAGCCTCCCAAAGTGCTGGGATTACAGGCGTGAGCCACCTTTACAGTAAGTTTTGAAATTGGATAGTGTCAGTCTTTTGACTTTTTTCCTTTTTTTCTTCAATATTATATTCATTATTATGGGTTTCCTGCCTTTCTGTATAAACTTTAAAATCAGTTTGTCAATATTCACAAAATTAATTACTGGGATTTTCATTGAGACTATATTGAAATTTATGTAGGTCAAGTTGGGAAGCACTTGTATTTTAACAGTATTGACTCTTCCTGTCAATTCTTGGGCTATCTCTCTATATCTTATTTATATGTTACTTATATTTATTTATATTAATACATATTTATATAGTTTATATTTTATTTATATTCTATTTATTTATATCTTCTTTCATTGGTATTTTATAGTTTTCCTCATATAAATCTTGTATATATTTTGTTAGACTTATACTTAAGGGTTTTTTTCCAGTGCTAATATAAATGGTGTTGTGTTTTAGTTTCAAATTACATTTGCTCATTACTGGTATATAGGAAAGCAATTAATTGACTTTTGTATATTAAGAAATCCTGCATCCTGCAACCATGCTATAATCACATATTAGTTCCAGTGGATTTTGTGTGTTATTTAGAAGTGTGTTGTTTAATCTTCACATACTCTGAGATTTTTCAGCTAGCTTTCTGTTGTTGAGTTCTAATTCCATTGTGATCTGAAAGCATACTTTATATGATACCTATTATTTCAAATTTAAGGTTTTATGACCCAGAATGTTGTCTAACTTGGTTAATAGTCCATGAGAACCTGAGAATAATATATAAAGTTCAAAACAGGTTTCACTGGACCCAAATCAGAATGTCTGCAGGGCTGCGTTTACTTTGGAGGCTCTAGGGAGAATATATTCCCTTGCGTTTCCCAGTTTCTAGAGGCCGCCACCTTCCCAAGTAGCTGGGGTTACAGACACGCGCCACCGCGCCCAGCCAATTTTTTGTATTTTTAGTAGAGATGGGGTTTCGCCATGTTGGCCAGGCTAATCTGGAACTCCTGACCTCAGGTGATCCACCCGCTTCCACTTCCCAAATTGCTAAGCTAACAGGTGTGAGACACCGCACCCGGCCACTAAACAGAATTTGTTATCTGATCATGATTCAAACAAAGAATCTAAAGTTAGGGGCTCAGAAACTTTTTTCTTCCAACAAATAAATGAACAAAGTCATTGATATGTCTTCCCTAGCCTTTGTTCTTATTCTCATCTCTAGTCTGATGTCCTTTGAGTAGACTGCCTTACACTGACAAATGCCATGCCAAACTTCTATATTCAGTAATGTAGTTTGTTAATGTTTTCCTTCTCATTCAGGTATTGTCAGCAGATCTCATGGATAGAGGTTTAAATGGCCTCTGGTAATAGTGACAATGCAAGGGCGAGAAAGGTTCCGCTTTCTTTTTTGTGTCTCTCTTTTAGATGTCAGCATCATAATTCTGCCAACTCAGTTAGCTAAGTATTTGGCTAGTTATTTTCATTCTCAGCTAACCAGAATGTGTTTTACCTTTTAGGTTTACCGACAAGACTGTGAAACTTTCGGGATGGTGGTGAAAATGCTGATTGAAAAAGATCCTTCATTAGAAAAGTCTATACAGTTTGCATTGAGGCAGAATTTACATGAAATAGGTGAGCGGTGTGTTGAAGAACTCAAGCATTTCATTGCAGAGTATGATACTTCCACTCAAGATTTTGGAGAGCCTTTTTAGATTTTTCTGCTCAGGCTAAAAAAAAAAAAAAACAGTTTCTAAAAATTTTTTTTCCTGGATTGTGTAAATCCTTAATATATGGAATTTTTGTGATGCAGAGAAATACTTTATGATAGTTGACAACATTTCAGTATTAAATAAACATCTAAAATAGTCTGTTTAAAATGTTTGATTCAAATTTTTGTATTTTTTGTAGAGATGGGGTTCACCATGTTGGCCAGGCTAGTCTCTAACTCCTGGCCTCAAGTGATCTGCCTGCCTCAGCCTCTCAAAGTGTTGAGATTACAGGCGTGAGCCACCGCTCCCTGCCCAACACATATACCATCTGAAAATGTTAGAATTCTGAGTTGTGATTTTATTGACTTGTTGCTTGCTTTTTCTTAGGCTTTGTAACTTGTAATATGTTAAAGTGTACTATCCTAATAAACTGAATACTTTGGTATCTTAGAGAATATTTGCTTTGAGAGTAATTCTCATTCAATGATAAAATAGAGCACTTAAATCTCTGAGAGATACCTCAGAAAAAAATCCGTTTTTCCAAGTAATGAACTCAGTGTCTTCTATTACAATAATCCTGAAACTCCTGACTCTCTCACTGATGTATGAGTCTTAAATAATATCATATACAAGACTAATAAATAGAAGATGCAGTTTGAGGTGGAAGGTGAGGGATATTTTAAGTTTCGGACTGTAGGAAATCAGTCAGGGTGGTAGGAGAAGCTATAAGGAAAGACGCAAACCTTCTTGGAAGGCTGGGAGGTTTTGCAAAGCTTCAGAGAGAATAAAGCTGAAGGCAGCTAATTCTCTTACCCCGAGGCTGAGGGCGAAGAGTAGGTAACAAGGTAGTGTAAAGAAATTTATCTAGATAAGTTTGTTTACATATGTCCTCCAGAAACCAACCCTTGATCAGTGCAAGACTGCTCCCTGCAAAGGGGGGCGACAATGTTCATTACTCACAAATTGTGTTGGCTTCAGGCCTTTGGCGTTCTGTCTGTACCGAATAAATACAAGCGGCTCCAGCTTATCAGGACTGCACTCTCTTTTGGGCTGCGCTAAAGCCGGCAGTCCCCTAGCCATTCTTACACAAAATACCTGCGTCTGAATACTCCTTTCATCCGGTCGCTCGGCCAGAGTCTGCAGGACAGACTTGGCAGCAGGTACCCCCTGTGAGGAACACTGAAATGGATCACGACGGAACCCCCGAAAACGAAGGCGAAGAGACTGCGCAGTCAGTAAGTCATTGGTGCCCGCTCGGGATTTCCAAGTTCAGGGGAATTCTCAAGCTAGGGTTTCATCATGGGACAACAGCTATCCACACAACAGAAACAGTATATAAAAGTATTGAAACAACTGCTTAAAGCTAGCAGAGCCTCGGTTTCGCAGGCTCAATTAAGGGACCCAGTGCAAACTGTTGTTTCCCATAACCCATGGTCCCCAGAAGAAGGCACGCTGGACCTAGAGCTTTGGGAAAAAGTGGGGAGAAATCTTAAACGATATCATGCACAAGGGCAATGGGTCCCAGTAAAATCTTTAACGTTATGGGCCTTAGTTAAGGCTACTTTGGCCTTGCTCTACACAGAAGAGCCTAAGAAGGGAAAGGAGGAGGAACCATCACCTTATCGCCTCCTCTTCCTCCCTCAGTCCTGCCGTTACCAGATAAAGATACCAAAGAGGAAACGGAGGTTTTCCCTGAGCCCCCTCCCCCAATAAATTGGAAAAAAGACAACAGATACACTACAGCTATGGGACCCTGTTTTAGGCAAGCGGCATTAGAAGGGGACCTCTTGGCCTGCCCAGTGATACAAAATTGACAAGGCAATCAAGTATATGAACCCATTACTTTTTATGCTTATAAAGAGATAAGAAAAAGCATTAGAGAAAATGGAGCTGCTAGTAGCCCATTTACGAAAGGATTAATTAAGGCCATAGCAGACAACTTCCATATAACCCTATAGGACTGGTCAGTGCTAGCTAAAACAATTTTAGAGGCCAGTCAGTACCTCCCCTGGAGGACAGAATTTGATGAATTATATAAACAGCAAACCTCTTTCTAGTAGTAGAACACTGGCCTTTAAAGGGAGAGAAATTACAACTGAGCCAGTAAATTAGTTGAGCAATTAAAAGCCGGCCATATAGAACCATCAAACAGCCCTTGGAATTTGCCCATTTTCGTCATTCCCAAAAGGTCTGGCAAATGGAGACTTTTGCATGGCTTACAAGCTATCAATGCTAATTTGCAATCTATGGGGCCCCTTCAACAGGCTCCCTTCCCCCGCAGCAGTTTCTCAAGATTGGCCTATAGTTGTTACTGACTTAAAAGACTGCTTTTATACTATTCCCCTTGCAGAACAGGACAGAGAAAAATTTGCATTTACAATACCAGCTATCAACAATGAAAGGCTAGCTCACCTATTTTATTAGAAAGTACTTTCTCAAGCAATGCTGAACAGTCCTACCATGTGTCAGTATTATGTAAATCAGGCTTTGCTCCCCAGGAGAAAAGAATATCCTAGTTGCAAGATTATTCATTTTATGGATGATATTTTACTAGCAGCTCCAATGGAGCCAGTACTTTTGAGTTTATATGCCTCTGTCATAAGGAATACACAGTTAAGAGGTTTAATCATAGCACCTGAAAAAGTACAGATGTCCTCACCTTAGAAATATCTTTACATACTAACTTCCTGGTCAATAAGACCTCAAAAGGTTAAATTAAATACTAGCAACTAACATACCTTAAATAATTATCAAAAATTGCTAGGCGATATTAACTATCTTTGCCCCACCTTGGGCATAACTACTGATAAATTACAGAACCTGTTTTCTATCCTAAAAGGCAGTATAGCCCTAGACTCTCCTAGGTATTTAACCCCCACAGCAAAAAGAGAAATTGAGGAAATCAAGCTATTTCTCAGAGGCAACTAGATCACATAGACCCACAATACTCAGTCCAATTGTTTGTTCTTCCTATTAAACATTTCCCCTACAGGATTAATAGGACAGATGGCCCCAGGGCTGCACTTCCTAGAATAGGTTTTTTGCTCACATACCAGGACTAAAACACTATCTCCCTATATCCAGCTAGTTAGTAAAGTCATCTATACAGACAGCGGATGATGCCATCAGTTGCTAGGTTATGACCCTGATGTCATAAGAATTCCCTTGAGTAAAAAACAATTTGAAGCAGTCTTGCCCCTATCTCTAGACCTTCAGATAGCACTCTCTGATTATGCAGGCCATATAAAACATGCCCTTCCTGCTGACAAACTACTTCAGTTCTTATCTAGTACTTCTGTAGTTATTCCTACAAAGGTAGTTTCCTCCCCCATACCTAACGCTGTAATGCTTTTTACCGATGGCTCTCGTAAAAATGGAAAAGCGGCTATCTGGTGGAAACCACATAACTCCCTCACTCCATCGAGATTTACTAGTACTCAGAGAGCTGAGGTTGGAGCCCTAATATTGGCCCTAGAAACTTTTTCTGTTCAGCCCATCAATATTGTTAGTGACTCTGCTTACTCTGTTTATTTATTGCAGAACCTTGAAACAGCCCTCATTAAGTCTACTCTCGAGCCGGCCCTGTGTGCCTTTTTTCTTTGACTTCAGTAATTGCTAAATCAATGTACACATTCTATTTTTATCACACATATTTGAGCCCACAGCTCACTGCCTGACCCACTGGCTTATGGCAATGATCAAGCAGACCTGCAGGTTATGATGTCACTGCTTAACCAAGCCACCCAATCACATCAATTTTTCCACCAAAATTAGAGAAACTTAACTAAACAATGTCAACTTACCCAGAGACTAGCTAAACAAATTATCCTGCAATGCCCAGATTGCCAGCTCACAGGCACGTCCCCTCCTTCAACAGGTGTTAACCCTAGAGGACTAGAACCTAATCAGTTATGGCAAACAGATGTTACACATGTCCCTGAATTTGGAAAACTAAGATATATACATGTATCCGTTGACACCTATTCTCACCTAATTAGCGCACATGCTCTTCCTGGAAAGTCCACCCCATCTGTCATTAAACATCTTTTAACTTTTATGTTTATGGGGCAGCCCACAAAAATTAAAACTTAATAATGGTCCGGCTTATGCCAGCTCACTCAACAATTTTGTCACACTTGGAGCGTCCAACATTCCACAGGCATCCCGTACAACCCCCAAGGACAGGCCGTAGTAGAACGTGCCCACTTCACCCTTAAAAATATGCTCAGAAAACAATGGAGAATATGAGTAAAGACCCTGCAACACTACTAGCACAAGCCTTACTTACCCTTAATTTCTGAAATTTAGATGATAAATTTCAGTCAGCTATAGAAAAGCACTTTGCTAAAACCTCTCCAGACATAAAACTGCAGTTTTATGGAAAGATGTAAATAGTAATATATGGCATGGTCCAAATGTTTTGCTAACATGGGGAAGAGGATATGCTTGTGTTCACATCCCCTCAGGCCCTCTTTGGATTCCAGCACGACGCATCAAACCATACCATAGTGGGGCTAGGACCCAACCAAGTACCAGAAATGAAGGAAACGACCCTGCAGGCCCCGCAGCCCCCGCAGGCCCCGCAGCCCCTGCAGCCCCGGAAGAAACGGGTTCGTCGGACGACACAGCTTCGTCGGACGACAGGAGCCCCAGACATTACCTGGGGGATGCTGAAGAAGACAACTCAGGAGGCTGAGAGGATCCTGCTCCGAACACAGACACCATTCACTCCAGAAAATTTGTTCCTTGCTATGCTCTCTGTTGTACATTGCAACTCACGCAAGGTATTGGTCCTTTTTATTCTCTCACTTTGCCTGTTACCCGTACCTACTATACCCTATTAAGCCCATTTTCTAAATCTGCCTTTTTTCAGCCCTATTCCCTTCCCAGCGTCTAGCAGTGTGACTTTTTAGCTAGGAGGGACTAACATACCCCCAGTGGGGTTCCTCAGTAACAGCCATATGGAAGGATATGCAAAAAAAAATCTCTCCTAGAAAGACCCCCACTCCTGGGGGTCGCTTCTTAGTTAGAAAAGAATATTACTAATTATACTCATGTTTGTCTCTTGTTGTTTACTAATTCTAGGATGTAAAGCCAGAAAACAAGCAGTAACTGCTATGCCTGACAAAACTGTTGCTGCACACATCTGTACTCGTCAATCAACAAAACCTGATGCAAAAAACAGAAAAGGGGTGATGTAGGAGATGGTCAGGTTGGTAGGAGAAGCTATAAGGAAAGACGCAATTGGAAGGTCGGGAGGTTTTCCAAAGCTTCAGGAGAGAATAAAGCTGAAGGCAGCTTTATTAATTAATTCTCTTACCCTGAGGCTGAGGGCGAACAGTAGGTAGCAAGGGAGTGTAAAGGAATTTATCTAGATAAGTTTGTTTACTTATGCCCTCCGGAAATCATGCAAGACTGCTCCCTGCAAAGGGGGGCGACAATGTTCATTACTCACAAATTGTGTTGGCTTCAGGCCTTTGGTATTCTGTCTCTACTGAATAAATACAAATGGTTCCAGCCTATCAGGACTGCACTCTCTTCTCGGCTGCACTAAAGCTGGCACTCCCCCAGCCGTTCTCATGCAAAATACCTGTGTCAGAATACTCCTTTCATCCATCACTCAGCCAGAGTCTTCAGGACAGACTCCGCATGGGACTTGTCCAAAAAAACTCTAATCAAAAGAGGAAAATTTTGGAATATGCCAGGAATAGTGGAATTTTATTTTTTAAATTTTTTTATAGGCCCATATGCTCTATCTCAAGAAACAAGATGATTGTAACATGTCCATGATTAAACTATTGGCAGATTATTGCTGTGTTAATCTCTGTAGTCTAATGAGTTCTTTGTTCTGTTCTGCTGCCTTTTACGTTTTCTTGTCCTTTCAAAAGTGTTCTTGAAAGAAACAAAGCGAATAGGCAGTTAGCACAGCACAGCTACCCCTTACCAAGCAGTCTATGGAAACAACCCCTCATCCAAATCATGGGTTAGTTAAGAATCTAACTGGGGCAATTAAGATGAATTCCACTCACTTCCTGGTCACTTCAGCAGCCCAGCGGCATTGAGCCAAAATATACAATTCTGTGTTATTAGTGAGGAAACTTTAAAACTCATGTTTGTTATTACTTACTACCCAATTTCATTATCCTCCCTTCCTCTTTCCATTTCTATTCTCTCTCACTTGAATTCTGGCATTATTTTTAGTGGCCTCTACTGATAATACCTACCCTAGAGTACATAAAAATTATATTAAAAGAGGAAGTAGCAGTATGCATAATTTTAACAGATTCTATAATGGGTGCCTCAAAATATGTATTGTGCCATTCCGCAAATTTAAAAGCTAATTGAGGACAATTTTTTTTTAATTTCCTAAATGAGACCACCTTGGATTTTTATTTTTGCCATTTAGATGTTTATACTTATTTAGCTTTTATAAAACATAAGCCAAGCTAAATCCCACATAACAACTCTGGTATTCTTCCCTCATATGAGCAGTGATTTTATTTGTTACCCACCTTAGATAGACTAAGAAAGTTCTAGTCTTGTTTCTCCTTCTCCCCGCTTCCCTGGGGTTTTTCCTTACCATAAGTATTCTGGTCCGAGGGTTCAGTTCCTTTAGTCAAGATGTCACAAGTTTAAAAACAAAACTTGAGAAACTACCAAAGGCTCAGGAGTTGTCCACTTTGTTGAAATCCATTAAATTAGAGAAGTCTCACTAACAGATGTATTTAAATATAGGTACAACAAATAATTTCTTTTTCTCCCCTTCCCCAAATTACAGTCAGCATTTAAAGCTGTTTATGGCTTGCCATCAGCATTATTCTGGTAGGCTTGTTAGTGTTAAAATCTATTTGATTTTTTTTTTTTTTTTTTGCCTCTTAAAGTCTAATTTTAGGATGGATGAATTCAGATGTTTACCAGAGTGTGTATTTTACATAATGTTCTTGATTAAAAAGACTTGTTTGTAAATTATCCGTTGTTTTTGCATATGCCCAGTTGATGTGATAAAATTTTCATTGTCTTGCCATATAAAGCCTTGGTTATCAACAGGTGGAATGTAGATATTGTAAAGCTTTTTGTGAATTAAAAGTGCAAAATAAAGCAACCACATTTAAGTAGATTGTCTTTTCTCTTATTTTAACAGGGTTAACGTATTTTGCTAAAATGTGAGCTTTATTACTCTGTACTGCAAGATTACTTCTTAGTCTTCAGTTCACCTACTCAGCAGCAGGATAGAGGAAGTGTGAGAATTGAAAAACTACAGCAGTGCCCCCTCATCTGTGGTTTTGCTTCCCATGTATAAGTAAACCATGGCTACCATTGTCCAAAAATATTAGATGGAAAATTTCAGAACAACTCGTAAGTTTTCAACTGTGTGCCGTTCTGAATGAAATCTTGCAGCACCGTGCTTTGTCCCACGTGAATCATCCATTTCTCTAGTGTATCCACACTGTATACACTACCCACCTGTTAGTCATCTGTACCATTTACTCCTGACATCCAGCCATTGACTATGTCATGGTTCCATGATCCAGGATCACCCAAAGCAGATGATCCTCCTTCTGATGTATCGTCAGAAGGTCATAGTAGTGCTCATGCCTGTAATCCCAGCACTTTGGGAGGCCAAGGTGGGTGAATCACTTGAGGTCAGGAGTTTAAGACCAGCTTGGCCAACATAGCGAAAACCCCGTCTCTGCTAAAAATACAAAAATTAGCCAGGCGTGGTGGTGGGCGCCTGTAATCCCAGCTACTCAGGAGGCTGAGCCATGAGAATTGCTTCAACCCGGGAGGCTGAGGCTGCAGTAAGCCAAGATCACTCCAGCCTGGGTGACAGAGCCAGACCCTGTCTTAAAAAAAGGAAATCAATAGTAGCCTCACGCTGTGTCACAATGCCTGCATCATCCACCTCACTTCATCTCACCATGCAGGCATTTTACCATCTCACATCCCATCATCAGAGGAAGAGTTGATTACAGTATATTGTTAAAATTGTTCTCTTTTATTGTTGTTAATCTCTTACTGTGCCTAATTTATAAATTAACCTTTACCATAAGTGTATATGCATAGGAAAAACCTGGTATATATAGGGTTTGGTATTATCCATGGTTTAAGGCATCCACTGGGGCTTTCGAGCATACCCTCCACACATAGGGGGTGCTACTGTATTCACTCTGGGGACTTAGGGAGTCTTCTGAGAAGTAGTTAAGAAAGGTGGCGCCTGATACAGTAGTACTCAATTGTTGTGTAATTATGAATCTGAATTTCAAAGAATTGTAGGATCAAGGTCCTCTATCTTTGTAATAACTCCTGGAGGGCAGGAAACTTGTCTTTGGGACTCCAGTTCTTAGCATAGTTTAAAACGTAGTAGATACTCATATTTGTTAACTTAAAGGGGGCTTCACAAAGGAAATTATATTTGACCCCTGGGTCTTGGAGGAATATGACTTATTCAGGCAGAGAGGGGAAGCATTTATTAGAAATCCAGGAGGAGGAAAAGGTGTCCTGTGTCCTGAAGCTGTGTGCTGAAGATGACAGGGGACGAAGGTGGGAAAAGGTAAGTTGAGAGCAGAATGGGAAGGATGTTGAATGTTTATAGCTTATTTACCCTTTCTCTCCTACTTAATGAAATTTGGAAACGTTATCTATGTAGTATTCTTGCAAGAGATGTGGATTTCTCATAGCCCTCAGCAACTTCACAGATCTAGAACCTCTTGAAGGAAGGGGAAGCCAGATCTCCTTAAGGAAAGACTCCGCTGTACTGCCAAAATATATTTTGGTTTCAGCTTCACTTCCAGACTTTCCTGTAATGGATCCTGAGTTCCAGGGAAGTCTCTGACAGTTCTTTGGCAACAGTTTTGGAGATGATGATCTGATCATCTCTGAAGTATTCATTCTAGACAAGATTCAGTGCTGCCAGCAGCCAGCCACCCAGGTTGCTTTATAGCTGTAACCCTGCTCAGGCTGGCTCGTGGAGTTCCTGAGAGTAATGGCCACTCTCTGCTTGCCAGGTCAAGGCTTGTGGGTTATGCATGATGTATTTGTCACCTTCTTCCTGCCTGTTCTCTTGAGAGCACTGATGTATCAGTTACCCAATTCAGTGGAAAAAAAAAAAAGGGTAGGGGTGGACCAGTAACTGAGGTAGTTAACACAATCTGTTCTCCCATTTTTTTCCATGGTAATAGGGGTTGACATTGAATAACATGCCTGCCTAACTGGGACTGTATTTGCTGTTTTCCTTGTAGTTTTAGGTGTGATGAAGCAACTAAGTTTTATGGAATTTGAGTGGAAATGCTGCTAATTCCAGGTTGGGAACCTGACAACAGTGACTGTGCCTCCTCCATGTTCTTTTATCCCCTCCCAAAAGTAGCAATAGCAATGCAGCCTTGATTTTTTTTTTTTTTTGCAGAGCCACAAGATGGAAGGAACCTGCATAACCACATGGAATAGTGAACTGTTATGTGAGAGCAGAATAAATGCCTTTATTCTTTAAGCCACAGTTTTGTTTGGTTTCTTGTTATAGCAGCTTACTTTTTGCTCAAACTTATTGATTATTTTTGTCAAATAACATCTAAGCATTCACTTCACCAGTGTAGGCCCTGAGCAGGCCGCACCACTCCTGCTTTTCCATTGTAATGGAAATCTTGGGGTAAGGGACTGATTCTAAAAAAGGCTTTGAATTAAGAATTTTAAGCCGTCTTTTAAATCTTGGTAAGTATTGTTACAGCCTTGTGAACATTTGTATAGCAGCAGACACAGCCTCATTATATAGCATGTTTTTTTTTCAGCTCTGTTCCCACAGATTGATGGTTTTGTGTGTGTGTGTGTGTGTGTGTGTGTGTGTGTGTGTGTTTGTGTGTGAATTTTTTTGAGGCAGGGTCTCACTCTGTTGTCCAGGCTGGAATGCACTGGCGCGATCTTGGCTCACTGGAACCTCCCCCAGGCTCAAGCAGTCCTCCCACCTCAGCCTTCCGTGTAGTCTCAACTTCTCTTTTTAGAAAAGAAATTTCACATCTCTATTGCTATATGCAGAAGGTGCTGTTATGCCAGCTTTCAAAACAACTTGCAACCTACTGTCAAATCATTAGATTCCAGACAATGGTAATAGTACCATTAGGAATACGAACCTTAAGACAGGCATGGTTGCTCATGCCTGTAATCCCAGCACTTTGAGAGGCTGAGGCGAGTGGATGTCTTAAGGCCAGGAGTTTGAGGCTGCAGTGAGCTATGATCACACCACTACACTGCAGCCTGGATGACAGAGACCCCCATCTCTTAAAAAAACAAGTATGAATCTTTTTTTTTTTTGGAGACAGAATTTCACTCTTGTTGCCCAGGCTGCAGTGCAATGGCGCGGTCTCAGTTCACTGCAACCTCTGCCTCCTAGGTTCAAGTGATTCTCCTGCCTCAGCCTCCCAAATAGCTGAGATTACAGGCACTCGCCACCACACCTGTCTAATTTTTGCATTTTTAGTAGAGATGGGGTTTCACCATGTTGGCCAGGCTGGTCTCAAACATCCTGACCTCAAGTGATCCACCCGCCTCATCCTCCCAAAGTGCTGGGATTACAGGCATGAGCCACCGTGCCCGGCCGAAAGTATGAATCTTAAATGTTAATAATTGTTTTAGCACTTTTCAATAATGGAACCAAGCAATTGCCATCAGGAAAGCCAATTCCTAGTCTGATAGAAATCCACCACAAAGCTGATCTTGCAGAGTGGCTAGTGTGAAGCACACTGGACTCCAGGATTCAGATGTGGGTTAGGAGACCCTCCTCTCTCATTAGCTCATGCAGGTTAAGTGCTCTATCTCCACTCTGTAAAATGAGAGTGCCAGACCAGCTCAAAGGCTTCCTTCCAGCCTCAGTGTTCTGTGGTGACTGGACTGAATTTATTAGGTTAGCAGGAGCCTTCCTACTCAGCATAAAGTGTGGTTTCTCTTTTCCCTTTCACTTACCAACATATTTGCCTGGCAAGGATTCCTGAAAGGATGGAACCCTACCCCCACCCCCAAAGACCATGGATTATGGGAGTTGGGAACTTTAAAGAGAGCCTTTTAAAAATATATATTAATGTTTGGGACTTGGGGTGGGCAAGAGGTTAAACTAAATAAAGAAAAAGCAGCAGGCCGGGCACAGTGGCTCACGCCCGTAATTCCAGCACTTTGGGAGGCCAAGGTGGGTGGATCACTTGAGGTCAGGAGTTTGAGACCAGCCTGGCCAACATGGTTAAACCCCATTTCTACCAAAAATACAAAAATTAGCCAGGCGTGGTGACACATGCATGTAGTCCCAGCTGATCAGAAGGCTGAGGCAAGGGAACCGCTTGAACCCGGTGGGCAGAGGTTGCAGTCAGCCAGGATCACACCACTGCACTCCAGCCTGGGTGACAGAACAAGACTGTGTCTCGAAAGAAAAAAAAAAAAAAGAAGGAAAAAAGAAGCTTGAGGATGGTTATTTCCCTATCAGTGCATATGCTTCAGGTTTGAAGTTGGCTTTATCGCCATTAAGTAGACAGTTTGGAGACAATTACAGAGTATGTGGAGGGCAAGATATTTTACTCCACGTTATTTCTCCCCGGTTACCAGGATGAAAAGTAAGATTTTTTTTCCCTACCTCTCAGAGTCCTATCAGCAGCAATCTTAGTCTTGAATCTCTGAACATGTTGTAAGCAAAGCTGAAAAGGTGCTATGTTTAATTAATGTTGGTTCCTAAATAGGAGAGTTAAATTACCAGGTTCATTCTACTTAAACGGCTCTTCTCAAACTCCACCATGTGTACTGGTGCAGCAGCCAGAGACTGAGTCCCTGGCTGCGCTGTGGTTTTGGGTGCTGAAGTCCCTGTTCTACATACCCCCAAGCAGCTCCTCCTTACCAATCACAACGGTGTTTTCTAAAACAGCTCCAGCCCAGGCATGGTGGCTCACGCCTGTAATCCCAGCACTTTGGGAGCCCCTCTCTGGGAGGCCGAGACAGGAAGATCGCTTGAGCCCAGGAGTTTGAAACCAGCCTAGGTAACATAGCA
The DNA here is from genome assembly GCF_000001405.40 of Homo sapiens. Classification (NCBI taxonomy): domain Eukaryota; kingdom Metazoa; phylum Chordata; class Mammalia; order Primates; family Hominidae; genus Homo; species Homo sapiens. Next base: position 42,453,523 of record NC_000012.12, read on the forward strand.
AGATTCAGATAGTGAAATAATGGAAAAATTTGGTGCTTCTCAGAGTTCTATGAAATATTTAGTGTATTAAACCTAAAATTAAAATATTTTAAATGGCATCCAATATAGTATACTAGAGTCTATTCTACAAAAGTAGCAGAATATAAGTGTGTGGTTTTTGGTTTTTTTTGGTGAGACAGTCTCTCCCTCTTCTTGCCCATGCTGGAGTGCAGTGGCGCGATCTTGGCTCACTGCAACCTCTGTCCCCTGAGCTGAAGTGATCCTCCCACCTCAGCCACCGTGCCCGGCCGCCTGGCCGATGGTATTCTAACGCTACAGCATTATCACTAAAATTATCTAAGGTTTTAAAGTTTTTTCCCCATTAAAAAAAAAAAAAAAACTTGGCTGGGTGTGGTCACGCCTGTAATCCCAGCACTTTGGGAGGCCGAGGCAGGCGGATCACTTGAGATCAGGAGCTCGAGACCAGCCTTGTCAACATGGCAAAACTTCATCTCTACAAAAAATACAAAAATTAGCCGGGTGTGGTGGTACGTGCCTGTGTGAGCCACTGCACCTGGCTAAAGGTCACATGTATTTCTATAAACAGGAATTAGTTGTGCCTCCCCTCAACAGCTCTAAGAGATAAGGGAATCAGCTCTTAGACTACTGAATTTATAACTCAGGGGTTGGAGACTGGCTAATGACAGGCTCATTTTGTTCAACAATGTTTCAGAAACATTTAAATTTGTTGCTAGCATTTAAAAGCTGGGAGATACCTACAAAAACCCAGATTCCTGGCATCTGTTGAAAAATCTGATGGTCAAGCAATATTGTTTTTCCATGGCAGTAGTCGGGAGTTTATTAGAAAACAGCACCCCAAGAGACCAAAATGTGCCCACACTGTTAAGAACTGTTCTGAGGCCAGGCGCGGTGGCTCACGCCTGTAATCCCAGCACTTTGGGAGGCTGAGGCAGGTCAATCGCCTGAGGTCAGGAGTTTGAGACCAGCCTGGCCAACATGGTGAAAGCCCCTCTCTACTAAAAATACAAAAATTAGCCGGGCGTGGTGGCACACGCCTGTAATCCCAGCTACCTGGGAGGCTGAGGCAGGAGAATCGCTTGAACCCAGGAGGCAGAGGCTGCAGTGAGCCGAGATTGCACCACTGCACTCCAGCCTGGGCGACAGAGACTCCATCTCAAAAAAAAAAGTTCTGAAATCGGCTGCTTCGAGTGCAGTGGTGTTTACAACTAATTGATCACAACCAGTTACAGATTTCTTTGTTCCTTCTCCACTCCCACTGCTTCACTTGACTAGCCTTCTTAAAAATAATAAGTGGTTCTGAAATCCTCTGGGCACTGCTGAAATATGTCCACTCAATACTTCCAGCACAATTTAAAGCCCTGGGTCCCATCACCCAAACTGAAAGGGACCCATGCCATACATGCAGATCTAGCAGTCTCAGGTACCCATTGCAATTTCACTACCCTTTTCATAAGGCACATGATTTGTGTCTAAAGTGAGAGGGTTAGACAGCAAATGACATCTCCTTTCTCTTCTGGTACTTTTATAACTCAGGAACTATTTAATAGAAAGCAGAGTATAGGCCGGGTGCGGTGGCTCATGCCTGTAATCCCAGCACTTTGGAAGGCCGAGGCGGGTGGATCACAAGGCCAAGCATTCGAGACCAGCCTGGCCAACATAGTGAAACCCCGTCTCTACTATAAATACGAAAAATTAGCCGGGTGTGGTGCCAGGCTCCTGTAATCCCATCTACTTGGGAGGCTGAGGCAGGAGAATCGCTTGAACGTGGGAGGTGGAGGTTGCAGTGAGCCGAGATCGCGCTACTGCACTCTAGCCCAGGTAATAGTGCGAGGAAAAAAAGAAAAAAAAAAAAAAAGAAAGAAAAGAAAGCAGAGTATAGAGATCAGCAAATGCACACACAAAATTAACCCTTTTTTTTTTGGAATCCTTTTAACCAGAGCTGAAAGGAGTTCCCAGTGACTTTTTGCCAGTATTCTTCCATAGGCCTTCAGCAAAATGTTCTCCGGTGACTGCTGAGAAGTGAGGAAAATGCAACCGTTAAGGTTCTGCTTCACCCATGTAGAGATTAGATGCAATGTTTCTTATTTTTTCTTTTTATTTATTTATTTATTTTTGAGATGGAGTCTCACTCTGTCACCTAGGCTGGAGTGCAGTGGCATGATCTTGGCTCACCGCAACCTCCACCTCCCGGGTTCAAGTGATTCTTCTGCCTCAGCCTCCCGAGTAGCTCAGATAACAGGTGCCTGCCACTACGCCCAGCTAATTTTTTTGTTTGTTTTCTTAGTAGAGACGGGGTTTCACCCTGTTGCCCAGGCTGGTCTCGAACTCCTGACCTCGTGATTTGCCTGCCTTGGCCTCCCAAATTGCTGGGATTACAGGCATGAGCCACCGTGCCCGGCCAGATGCAGCATTTTAACATTTGATATTTATCAGGCTGGGTGCAGTGGCTCACACCTTTAATCCCAGCACTTTGGGAAGCCTAGGTGGGCAGATTACCTGAGGTCGGGAGTTTGAGACCAGTCTGACAACCATGGAGAAACCCTGTCTCTACTAAAAATACAAAATAAGCTGGGGTGGTGGCGTATGGCTGTAATGCCAGCTACTTGGGAGGCTGAGGCAGAAGAATCGCTTGAACCCAGGAGGCGGAGGTTGCAGTGAGCCGAGATCTCGCCACTGCACTCCAGCCTGGGCAACAAGAGCAAAACTCTTTTGTCTCAGAAAAAAAAAAAAAAAAAAAAAAAAAAAAATTCCTATTTATCTCAAGACCCAATTTTGGAGTTTAGTGACTGACCAGATACTTTGAACTCTTGTTAAGTAGATCTAGTAACAACTTTTAGAGCAACTGGGATGGGCCAGGGTGGAATGATATGGTTTGGCTCTGTGTCCCCATCCAAATCTCATCTCGAATTGTCATCCCCACCTGTGGAGGGAGGGAAATGATTGGATTATGGGGCCGGTTCCCCCACTCTGTTCTCATGATAGTGAATTCTCACGAGATCTGTTGGTTTTATAAGGGGGCTCTTCCCCCTCTGCTTCCTTCACAGGGTCTCTCCACCTGCTGCCATGTAAGACGTGTTTGCTTCCCCTTCTGCCATGATTGTATTTCCTAAGGCCTCCCTCCCCAGCCATGTGGAATTGGGTCAGTTAAACCTCTTTCCTTTATAAATTACCCAGTCTCGGCAGTTCTTTGTAGTAATGTGAGAATAGACTAAGTCGGCAACTATAGGCTTTATTTTCTTGCCAATTCTTTACAGAACTGTAAGGCAGTTGCTTCTTTCTTCCGTTGTAGATAGTCTTCTGTTATTGCTACAAACTGGGATTAATTTTTAAGCTTCAAAGTTACATTATTGCCAGACGCAGTGGCTCATGCCTGTAATCCCCTGCACTTTGGGAGGCTGAGGCAGGTGGATCACCTGAAGGTCAGGAGTTCGAGACCAGCCTGGCCAACTTGGTGAAACACTGTCTCTACTAAAAATATAAAAAATTAGCCGAGCATGGTGGCAGGCACCTGTAATCTCAGCTACTCCGGAGGCTGAGACAGGAGAATTGCTTGAACCCGGGAGGCAGAGGTTGCAGTGAACTGAGATTGTGCCGTTGCGCTCCAGCCTGGGCAACAGGAGCGAAACTCCATCTCAAAAAAAAAAAAAAAAGGAAAAGAAAGTCACATTATTATTGTGAATAAATATCTGCATTTCCTTAAGCCTTTGGCAGGCTATGTTACCCCTATCTTTTGAGAATGTACTTGAAAAGTGAGGGCAGTACCTTCACCTTATACCTGCATTTCTTCAGGCTAAGTATCACCTGTTTACTATTTATTATCCATCCTTTATAAGCAACATATTGCAACAGTCTTTTCTAAAAGGATGCCCACTTGTGGCAGCACAGGTTCTGAAAATTTCTTCAAAATCAAGAAATCTGCTAATACATTGAGAGGTTGTGATGGAACAAACACTCTCATTTACATTACATTAATGTAAATCAGGAGAATTTCTTTTGGAGGAAAATTGGCAATATCCATCAGTCTTAAATACGTAACCTTTGTCCCAGTAACTACGCTGCTCCCGATTTATGTGCACATGTGCCAGTGTAGCATAATGTATGAGGAAAGTCAACTCCATCATTAGGAGTAGGCTATTAAGCAGTCACTGAAAGAATGGGTAGACCTATATGCACTAACGTGAAATGTCCACATACAAAGGGAAAAAAGCATGTCACAGCACATATAGGTCACTACCACTTTTAAAAGACACATTTATACGAATGTGCTTTGAATGTCTGAAGGAGACACTAAAACTGGGTAAGAGTGGTTACTTCTGGGGAGAGGACCTGGGGGACTGGGATGAAGAATGGAAAGGAGATGCTGTCTCTGACTTTTGCCCTATTTGAATTTTTTTGTCATGTGTATGCACTTCCTTTTCATTGCTGATGGTTTTTTAAAGGCACCAGACCAGGGAATGTAAGTTACTGAGTGAAGAACTCTCTCACCATTGGTGCTTTTCTGAAGGGAATCTGTGTAGCCCAGATACAAACCCTTGTGTGGGACGGCTGTCCACCTACTACTCGCTGGTTTACCCATTGGACTTGTGTCTGTCCTCCCTAAGGCCAAATTTTCCCCACTCCAGTCTATATGGAAAAAATAAGCCTCTGTGTCTGAAGCCCTATTTCTGGCCTACAAGTGGGGCGTGTGGACACACGAGACAAATGGAGGTCTGTTAATGGTAGGGCAACTGCAAAATAAATCATGCCTGAACACAGGCACAAAATGGAAGTTATCTGGATACATTTGCAAAGATTTATATTCAGAAAGGTAGTTTTGTTATTTATTAAGTGTTTATTAAATGCCTCCCTAAAGGTCCTGGATGCCACTAGAACCTTTAGTTAGGACTGAGATGTATATGCAAGAGTGGCACATATCAAAATATCTGCTCATTGGTTCAGATCCAACGTAAGTTTTCCTTGAACCAGAACCTCATATTAACTTACAGTACTCAATGGCACAGCATCCTCTAATTTAAAGATTTTAAAACAAAAACATAACCAGAAGACCCAGTTTTCAAAATTGCTGTTAAAGGCCAACAAATTAGTGGGAGGGAAGGAATAAAAAGGAATAACCTCTCTTAAAATAACAAATCTACAAAGTCCTCTGCCACAAAAGCAGATCTTTGTCATTTCCCATGAGATAATCATCACCTTGCTGAAAATGAGAAAGGCACCCCCCGCAGGCAGGGGGAAAAAACCCACTCGCTGAAACAGCTTCTACTTGTTTTTACCATATATTCCAGGGGTTATGTGTGTGGAGGGGTTGTTTTTACATTTATACAGTTTACATTGCTTGACCCATAAGTAACACTTGTAAGATTAATAGGGCCATAGTTTTAAAGAGTACTTACATAGCCCCACCATGCATACAGAGCCTTTTTTAATATTGGAAAAAAAAATCAAAAAAAGTTGAATTTTCCATCACTAGGCAATGTAAATTTGACCATCTACATTTATAAACCCTGACTAAAATATAAGCAATCAGTTCATCCATAAATTCTGGTTCCCTGGCAAATCTAGCACTGCAGCGTAACAAACGGCTTACAATTCAGGGATATAAAAATATCAGCTTTAAAATCTGAACTGTACAGTATATACATTAATATTTGCACCGTTAAATTAGGAATACACTTAAGTCTATGAAATACTAAGTTATAAATAGCAATGTTTTTTGTTTTTTTTTTTCAATCTGTAGCTGGCGCTGATACAATACAATGTTTACCTGGCCAAAGAGGGTTCGAGGGGACAAGCTGGCCTCACAATAAGATGCACAGTGTTAGCTAGGTCATCGTGACAGGCATGCCTCACACCAAGACGGACTATCAAGACCTGAGCCGACCTGACTTACATAAATGACAAACACTAGTGCTTTACAAAGGTGGCTGGAGTTCTCCATCTTCTAAAATCAACATCCAATCCCCTTCAGTCAGCATCTTCAGTATTCCCTTGAGGACTGGAAAACCAAAGCAGCTACGTCCATCTGTAACGCACCCGCACCGGACAGGCACGAGATGTCACGTCCACCTGGCACCATCCAAAGAGGGTAAATTGGAGAAATCACACCTTTCAAATGTTAATCTGACACTGTAAACAGCAGTTGAGTTCTCATTTACATGGGCAAAGAAAGCACTTTAAACTATTTTCACAACTTTCCTACGGAAGAAAAGGAAACGATTCAGACGGTTAATGGCTAAGTTTTAAACAAATGCTCTGCATCACTACTTGGTTAAGAAATAATACAATTTTTGCCCTTGTGTCCCTTTTTCTTCTTGGATTTTGTTGTCCTCTGACCAAACTGAGGGGTGGGAAGTGCAGATGGTGGACTAGAAAGGTCATCTGTATAGTAGGCAAATCTCTGTGGCCGGGGTTGAGGGATTGGTTGTCCAAGAAAATATCCTTCTTCTTCCGAGTCGGAAGAGGAGGAGGAGGAAGAACACCAGGAATCATCATCCTCGCCGTAGAGTCCCAGAAACCGATTCATTCCTGGGTTCTGCAGGCCATAATCGGAAGTGGCATGGGCGTACTGTCCGTAGAGATCAGCATTCT